>NC_000011.10:52669018-52969018 GCF_000001405.40 Homo sapiens
CTTCTTTGTGATGTTTGCATTCAACTCACAGAGTTGAACCTTGCTTTCATAGTTCAGCTTTCAAACACTCTTTTTGTAGAATCTGCAAGTGGATATTTGGACCACTTTGTGGCCTTCCTTCGAAACGGGTATATCTTCACATCAAACCTAGACAGAAGCATTCTCAGAATGTTTCCTGTGATGACTGCATTCAACTCACAGAGGTGAACAATCCTGCTGATGGAGCAGTTTTGAAACTCTCTTTCTTTGGATTCTGCAAGTGGATATGTGGACCTCTGTGAAGATTTCGTTGGAAACGGGTTCATCTTCACAGAAAAACTAAACAGGAGCATTCTCAGAAACTGCTTTGTGATGTTTGTGTTCCACTTCAGGAATTGAACTTTCCTCTTGACAGAGCAGCTCTGAAACCCTCTTATTCTAGAATCTGCAAGTGGACATTTGGAGGGCTTTGAGGCCTGTGGTGGAAAAGGAAAATCTTCACATAAAAACTAGAGGAAGCATTCTCAGAAACTACTTTGTGATGATTGCATTCGACTCACAGAGTTGAACATTCCTATAGATAGAGCAGGTTGTAAACAATCTTTTTGTAGAATCTGCGATTGGAGATTTGGACTGCTTTGAGGCCTACTGTAGTAGAGGTAATAACTTCATTTAAAACCAAACGGAAGCATTCACAGACAATTCTTAGTGATCATTGCATTGAACTAACAGAGCTGAACATTCCTTTAGATGGCGCAGTTTCCAAACACACTTTCTGTAGAATCTGCAAGTGGATATTTGGACTTCTCTGAGGATTTCGTTGGAAACGGGATAAACTTCCCAGAACTACACGGAAGCATTCTGAGAAACTTCTTTGTGATGTTTGCATTCAACTCACAGAGTTGAACCTTGCTTTCATAGTTCAGCTTTCAAACACTCTTTTTGTAGAATCTGCAAGTGGATATTTGGACCACTTTGTGGCCTTCCTTCGAAACGGGTATATCTTCACATCAAACCTAGACAGAAGCATTCTCAGAATGTTTCCTCTGATGACTGCATTCAACTCACAGAGGTGAACAATCCTGCTGATGGAGCAGTTTTGAAACTCTCTTTCTTTGGATTCTGCAAGTGGATATGTGGACCTCTGTGAAGATTTCGTTGGAAACGGGTTCATCTTCACAGAAAAATTAACAGGAGCATTCTCAGAAACTGCTTTGTGATGTTTGTGTTCCACTTCAGGAATTGAACTTTCCTCTTGACAGAGCAGCTCTGAAACCCTCTTATTCTAGAATCTGCAAGTGGACATTTGGAGGGCTTTGAGGCCTGTGGTGGAAAAGGAAAATCTTCACATAAAAACTAGATGGAAGCATTCTCAGAAACTACTTTGTGATGATTGCATTCGACTCACAGTGTTGAACATTCCTATAGATAGAGCAGGTTGTAAACAATCTTTTTGTAGAATCTGCGATTGGAGATTTGGACTGCTTTGAGGCCTACTGTAGTAAAGGAAATAACTTCATCTAAAAACCAAACGGAAGAATTCACAGACAATTCTTAGTGATCATTGGGTTGAACTAACAGAGCTGAACATTCCTTTAGATGGAGCAGTTTCCAAACACACTTTCTGTAGAATCTGCAAGTGGATATTTGGACTTCTCTGAGGATTTCGTTGGAAACGGGATAAACTTCCCAGAACTACACGGAAGCATTCTGAGAAACTTCTCTGTGATGTTTGCATTCAACTCACAGAGTTGAAACTTGCTTTCATAGTTCAGCTTTCAAACACTCTTTTTGTAGAATCTGCAAGTGGATATTTGGACCACTTTGTGGCCTTCCTTCGAAACGGGTATATCTTCACATCAAACCTAGACAGAAGCATTCTCAGAATGTTTCCTGTGATGACTGCATTCAACTCACAGAGGTGAACAATCCTGCTGATGGAGCAGTTTTGAAACTCTCTTTCTTTGGATTCTGCAAGTGGATATGTGGACCTCTGTGAAGATTTCGTTGGAAACGGGTTCATCTTCACAGAAAAACTAAACAGAAACATTCTCAGAAACTGCTTTGTGAAGTTTGTGTTCCACTTCAGGAATTGAACTTTCCTCTTGACAGAGCAGCTCTGAAACCCTCTTATTCTAGAATCTACAAGTGGACATTTGGAGGGCTTTGAGGCCTGTGGTGGAAAAGGAAAATCTTCACATAAAAACTAGATGGAAGCATTCTCAGAAACTACTTTGTGATGATTGCATTCGACTCACAGAGTTGAACATTCCTATAGATAGAGCAGGTTGTAAACAATCTTTTTGTAGAATCTGCGATTGGAGATTTGGACTGCTTTGAGGCCTACTGTAGTAAAGGAAATAACTTCATCTAAAAACCAAACGGAAGCATTCACAGACAATTCTTAGTGATCATTGCATTGAACTAACAGAGCTGAACATTCCTTTAGATGGCGCAGTTTCCAAACACACTATCTGTAGAATCTGCAAGTGGATATTTGGACCTCTCTGAGGATTTCGTTGGAAACGGGATAAACTTCCCAGAACTACACGGAAGCATTGTGAGAAACTTCTTTGTGATGTTTGCATTCAACTCACAGAGTTGAACCTTGCTTTCATAGTTCAGCTTTCAAACACTCTTTTTGTAGAATCTGCAAGTGGATATTTGGACCACTTTGTGGCCTTCCTTCGAAACGGGTTATATCTTCACATCAAACCTAGACAGAAGCATTCTCAGAATGTTTCCTGTGATGACTGCATTCAACTCACAGAGGTGAACAATCCTGCTGATGGAGCAGTTTTGAAACTCTCTTTCTTTGGATTCTGCAAGTGGATATGTGGACCTCTGTGAAGATTTCGTTGGAAACGGGTTCATCTTCACAGAAAAACTAAACAGAAGCATTCTCAGAAACTGCTTTGTGATGTTTGTGTTCCACTTCAAGAATTGAACTTTCCTCTTGACAGAGCAGCTCTGAAACCCCCTTATTCTAGAATCTGCAAGTGGACATTTGGAGGGCTTTGAGGCCTGTGGTGGAAAAGGAAAATCTTCACATAAAAACTAGATGGAAGCATTCTCACAAACTACTTTGTGATGATTGCATTCGACTCACAGAGTTGAACATTCCTATAGATAGAGCAGGTTGTAAACAATCTTTTTGTAGAATCTGCGATTGGAGATTTCGACTGCTTTGAGGCCTACTGTAGTAAAGGAAATAACTTCATCTAAAAACCAAACGGGAAGCATTCACAGACAATTCTTAGTGATCATTGGATTGAACTAACAGAGCTGAACATTCCTTTAGATGGAGCAGTTTCCAAACACATTTTCTGTAGAATCTGCAAGTGGATATTTGGACTTCTCTGAGGATTTCGTTGGAAACGGGATAAACTTCCCAGAACTACACTTAAACATTCTGAGAAACTTCTTTGTGATGTTTGCATTCAACTCACAGAGTTGAACCTTGCTTTCATAGTTCAGCTTTCAAACACTCTTTTTGTAGAATCTGCAAGTGGATATTTGGACCACTTTGTGGCCTTCCTTCGAAACGGGTATATGTTCACATCAAACCTAGACAGAAGCATTCTCAGAATGTTTCCTGTGATGACTGCATTCAACTCACAGAGGTGAACAATCCTGCTGATGGAGCAGTTTTGAAACTCTCTTTCTTTGGATTCTGCAAGTGGATATGTGGACCTCTGTGAAGATTTCGTTGGAAACGGGTTCATCTTCACAGAAAAACTAAACAGAAGCATTCTCAGAAACTGCTTTGTGATGTTTGTGTTCCACTTCAGGAATTGAACTTTCCTCTTGACAGAGCAGCTCTGAAACCCTCTTATTCTAGAATCTGCAAGTGGACATTTGGAGGGCTTTGAGGCCTGTGGTGGAAAAGGAAAATCTTCACATAAAAACTAGATGGAAGCATTCTCAGAAACTACTTTGTGATGATTGCATTCGACTCACAGAGTTGAACATTCCTATAGATAGAGCAGGTTGTAAACAATCTTTTTGTAGAATCTGCGATTGGAGATTTGGACTGCTTTGAGGCCTACTGTAGTAAAGGAAATAACTTCATCTAAAAACCAAACGGAAGCATTCACAGAAAATTCTTTGTGATGATTGGATTGAACTCAGAGAGCTGAACATTCCTTTAGATGGAGCAGTCTCCAAACACAATTTCTGTAGAATCTGCAAGTGGATATTTGGACGTCTCTGAGGATTTCGTTGGAAACGGGATAAACTTCCCAGAACTACACGGAAGCATTCTCAGAATCTTCTTTGTGATGTCTGCATTCAACTCACAGAGTTGAACCTTCCTTTCATATTTCAGCTTTCAAACACTGTATTTGTAGAATCTGCAAGTGGATATTTGGACCACTTTCGGGCCTTCCTTCGAAACGGGTATATCTTCACATCAAACCTAGACAGAAGCATTCTCAGAATGTTTCCTGTGATGACTCCATTCAAAGCACAGAGGTGAACAATCCTGTTGATGGAGCAGTTTTGAAACTCTCTTTCTTTGGAATCTGCAAGTGGATATGTGGACCTCTTTGAAGATTTCCTTGGAAACGGGTTCATCTTCACATAAAAACTAAACAGAAGCATTCTCAGAAACTGCTTTGTGATGTTTGTGTTCCACTTCAAGAATTGAACTTTCCTCTTGACAGAGCAGCTCTGAAACCCTCTTTTTCTAGAATCTGCAAGTGGACATTTGGAGGGCTTTGAGGCCTGTGGTGGAAAAGGAAATATCTTCACATAAAACCTAGATAGAAGCATTCTCAGAAACTACTTTGTGATGATTGCATTCGACTCACAGAGTTGAACATTCCTATAGATAGAGCAGGTTGTAAACAATCTTTTTGTAGAATCTGCGATTGGAGATTTGGACTGCTTTGAGGCCTATTGTAGTAAAGGAAATAACTTCATCTAAAAACCAAACGGAAGCATTCACAGACAATTCTTAGTGATCATTGCATTGAACTAACAGAGCTGAACATTCCTTTAGATGGCGCAGTTTCCAAACACACTTTCTGTAGAATCTGCAAGTGGATATTTGGACCTCTCTGAGGATTTCGTTGGAAACGGGATAAACTTCCCAGAACTACACGGAAGCATTCTGAGAAACTTCTTTGTGATGTTTGCATTCAACTCACAGAGTTGAACCTTGCTTTCATAGTTCAGCTTTCAAACACTCTTTTTGTAGAATCTGCAAGTGGATATTTGGACCACTTTGTGGCCTTCCTTCGAAACGGGTATATCTTCACATCAAACCTAGACAGAAGCATTCTCAGAATGTTTCCTGTGATGACTGCATTCAACTCACAGAGGTGAACAATCCTGTTGATGGAGCAGTTTTGAAACTCTCTTTCTTTGGATTCTGCAGGTGGATATGTGGACCTCTGTGAAGATTTCGTTGGAAATGGGTTCATCTTCACAGAAAAACTAAACAGGAGCATTCTCAGAAACTGCTTTGTGATGTTTGTGTTCCACTTCAAGAATTGAACTTTCCTCTTGATAGAGCAGCTCTGAAACCCTCTTTTTTTAGAATCTGCAAGTGGACATTTGGAGGGCTTTGAGGCCTGTGGTGGAAAAGGAAAATCTTCCCATAAAAACTAGATGGAAGCATTCTCAGAAACTACTTTGAGATGATTGCATTCGACTCACAGAGTTGAACATTCCTATAGATAGAGCAGGTTGTAAACAATCTTTTTGTAGAATCTGCGATTGGAGATTTGGACTGCTTTGAGGCCTACTGTGGTAAAGGAAATAACTTCATCTAAAAACCAAACGGAAGCATTCACAGACAATTCTTAGTGATCATTGGATTGAACTAACAGAGCTGAACATTCCTTTAGATGGAGCAGTTTCCAAACACACTTTCTGTAGAATCTGCAAGTGGATATTTGGACTTCTCTGAGGATATCGTAGGAAACGGGATAAACTTCCCAGAACTACACGGAAGCATTCTGAGAAACTTCTTTGTGATGTTTGCATTCAACTCACAGAGTTGAACCTTGCTTTCATAGTTCAGCTTTCAAACACTCTTTTTGTAGAATCTGCAAGTGGATATTTGGACCACTTTGTGGCCTTCCTTCGAAACGGGTATATCTTCACATCAAACCTAGACAGAAGCATTCTCAGAATGTTTCCTGTGATGACTGCATTCAACTCACAGAGGTGAACAATCCTGTTGATGGAGCAGTTTTGAAACTCTCTTTCTTTGGATTCTGCAAGTTGATATGTGGACCTCTGTGAAGATTTCGTTGGAAACGGTTTCATGTTCACAGAAAAACTAAACAGAAGCATTCTCAGAAACTGCTTTGTGATGTTTGTGTTCCACTTCAGGAATTGAACTTTCCTCTTGACAGAGCAGCTCTGAAACCCTCTTATTCTAGAATCTGCAAGTGGACATTTGGAGGGCTTTGAGGCCTGTGGTGGAAAAGGAAAATCTTCACATAAAAACTAGATGGAAGCATTCTCAGAAACTACTTTGTGATGATTGCATTCGACTCACAGAGTTGAACATTCCTATAGATAGAGCAGGTTGTAAACAATCTTTTTGTAGAATCTGCGATTGGAGATTTGGACTGCTTTGAGGCCTACTGTAGTAAAGGAAATAACTTCATCTAAAAACCAAACGGAAGCATTCACAGACAATTCTTAGTGATCATTGCATTGAACTAACAGAGCTGAACATTCCTTTAGATGGCGCAGTTTCCAAACACACTTTCTGTAGAATCTGCAAGTGGATATTTGGACCTCTCTGAGGATTTCGTTGGAAACGGGATAAACTTCCCAGAACTACACGGAAGCATTGTGAGAAACTTCTTTGTGATGTTTGCATTCAACGCACAGAGTTGAACCTTGCTTTCACAGTTCAGCTTTCAAACACTCTTTTTGTAGAATCTGCAAGTGGATATTTGGACCACTTTGTGGCCTTCCTTCGAAACGGGTATATCTTCACATCAAACCTAGACAGAAGCATTCTCAGAATGCTTCCTGTGATGACTGCATTCAACTCACAGAGGTGAACAATCCTGCTGATGGAGCAGTTTTGAAACTCTCTTTCTTTGGATTCTGCAAGTGGATATGTGGACCTCTGTGAAGATTTCGTTGGAAACGGGTTCATCTTCACAGAAAAACTAAACAGGAGCATTCTCAGAAACTGCTTTGTGATGTTTGTGTTCCACTTCAAGAATTGAACTTTCCTCTTGACAGAGCAGCTCTGAAACCCTCTTTTTCTAGAATCTGCAAGTGGACATTTGGAGGGCTTTGAGGCCTGTGGTGGTAAAGGAAAATCTTCACATAAAAACTTTATGGAAGCATTCTCAGAAACTACTTTGTGATGATTGCATTCGACTCACAGAGTTGAACATTCCTATAGATAGAGCAGGTTGTAAACAATCTTTTTGTAGAATCTGCGATTGGAGATTTGGACTGCTTTGAGGCCTACTGTAGTAAAGGAAATTACTTCATCTAAAAACCAAACGGAAGCATTCACAGACAATTCTTAGTGATCATTGGATTGAACTAACAGAGCTGAACATTCCTTTAGATGGAGCAGTTTCCAAACCCACTTTCTGTAGAATCTGCAAGTGGATATTTGGACTTCTCTGAGGATTTCGTTGGAAACGGGATAAACTTCCCAGAACTACACGGAAGCATTCTGAGAAACTTCTTTGTGATGTTTGCATTCAACTCACAGAGTTGAACCTTGCTTTCATAGTTCAGCTTTCAAACACTCTTTTTGTAGAATCTGCAAGTGGATATTTGGACCACTTTGTGGCCTTCCTTCGAAACGGGTATATCTTCACATCAAACCTAGACAGAAGCATTCTCAGAATGTTTCCTGTGATGACTGCATTCAACTCACAGAGGTGAACAATCCTGCTGATGGAGCAGTTTTGAAACTCTCTTTCTTTGGATTCTGCAAGTTGATATGTGGACCTCTGTGAAGATTTCGTTGGAAACGGGTTCATCTTCACAGAAAAACTAAACAGAAGCATTCTCAGAAACTGCTTTGTGATGTTTGTGTTCCACTTCAAGAATTGAACTTTCCTCTTGACAGAGCAGCTCTGAAACCCTCTTATTCTAGAATCTGCAAGTGGACATTTGGAGGGCTTTGAGGCCTGTGGTGGAAAAGGAAAATCTTCACGTAAAAACTAGATGGAAGCATTCTCAGAAACTACTTTGTGATGATTGCATTCGACTCACAGAGTTGAACATTCCTATAGATAGAGCAGGTTGTAAACAATCTTTTTGTAGAATCTGCGATTGGAGATTTGGACTGCTTTGAGGCGTACTGTAGTAAAGGAAATAACTTCATCTAAAAACCAAACGGAAGCATTCACAGACAATTCTTAGTGATCATTGGATTGAACTAACAGAGCTGAACATTCCTTTAGATGGAGCAGTTTCCAAACCCACTTTCTGTAGAATCTGCAAGTGGATATTTGGACTTCTCTGAGGATTTCGTTGGAAACGGGATAAACTTCCCAGAACTACACGGAAGCATTGTGAGAAACTTCTTTGTGGTGTTTGCATTCAACTCACAGAGTTGAACCTTGCTTTCATAGTTCAGCTTTCAAACACTCATTTTGTGGAATCTGCAAGTGGATATTTGGACCACTTTGTGGCCTTCCTTCGAAACGGGTATATCTTCACATCAAACCTAGACAGAAGCATTCTCAGAATGTTTCCTGTGATGACTGCATTCAACTCACAGAGGTGAACAATCCTGCTGATGGAGCAGTTTTGAAACTCTCTTTCTTTGGATTCTGCAAGTGGATATGTGGACCTTTGTGAAGATTTCGTTGGAAACGGGTTCATCTTCACAGAAAAACTAAACAGGAGCATTCTCAGAAACTGCTTTGTGATGTTTGTGTTCCACTTCAGGAATTGAACTTTCCTCTTGACAGAGCAGCTCTAAAACCCTCTTATTCTAGAATCTGCAAGTGGACATTTGGAGGGCTTTGAGGCCTGTGGTGGAAAAGGAAAATCTTCACATAAAAACTAGATGGAAGCATTCTCAGAAACTACTTTGTGATGATTGCATTCGACTCACAGAGTTGAACATTCCTATAGATAGAGCAGGTTGTAAACAATCTTTTTGTAGAATCTGCGATTGGAGATTTGGACTGCTTTGAGGTCTACTGTAGTAAAGGAAATAACTTCATCTAAAAACCAAACGGAAGCATTCACAGACAATTCTTAGTGATCATTGGATTGAACTAACAGAGCTGAACATTCCTTTAGATGGAGCAGTTTCCAAACACACTTTCTGTAGAATCTGCAAGTGGATATTTGGACTTCTCTGAGGATTTCGTTGGAAACGGGATAAACTTCCCAGAACTACACGGAAGCATTGTGAGAAACTTCTTTGTGATGTTTGCATTCAACTCACAGAGTTGAACCTTGCTTTCATAGTTCAGCTTTCAAACACTCTTTTTGTAGAATCTGCAAGTGGATATTTGGACCACTTTGTGGCCTTCCTTCGAAACGGGTATATCTTCACATCAAACCTAGACAGAAGCATTCTCAGAATGTTTCCTGTGATGACTGCATTCAACTCACAGAGGTGAACAATCCTGCTGATGGAGCAGTTTTGAAACTCTCTTTCTTTGGATTCTGCAAGTGGATATGTGGACCTCTGTGAAGATTTCGTTGGAAACGGGTTCATCTTCACAGAAAAACTAAACAGAAGCATTCTCAGAAACTGCTTTGTGATGTTTGTGTTCCACTTCAGGAATTGAACTTTCCTCTTGACAGAGCAGCTCTGAAACCCTCTTATTCTAGAATCTGCAAGTGGACATGTGGAGGGCTTTGAGGCCTGTGGTGGAAAAGGAAAATCTTCACATAAAAACTAGATGGAAGCATTCTCAGAAACTACTTTGTGATGATTGCATTCGACTCACAGAGTTGAACATTCCTATAGATAGAGCAGGTTGTAAACAATCTTTTTGTAGAATCTGCGATTGGAGATTTGGACTGCTTTGAGGCCTACTGTAGTAAAGGAAATAACTTCATCTAAAAACCAAACGGAAGCATTCACAGACAATTCTTAGTGATCATTGGATTGAACTAACAGAGCTGAACATTCCTTTAGATGGAGCAGTTTCCAAACACACTTTCTGTAGAATCTGCAAGTGGATATTTGGACCTCTCTGAGGATTTCGTTGGAAACGGGATAAACTTCCCAGAACTACACGGAAGCATTCTGAGAAACTTCTTTGTGATGTTTGCATTCAACTCACAGAGTTGAACCTTGCTTTCATAGTTCAGCTTTCAAACACTCTTTTTGTGGAATCTGCAAGTGGATATATGGACCACTTTGTGGCCTTCCTTTGAAACGGGTACATCTTCACATCAAACCTAGACAGAAGCATTCTCAGAATGTTTCCTGTGATGACTGCATTCAAATCACAGAGGTGAACAATCCTGTTGATGGAGTAGTTTTGAAACTCTCTTTCTTTGGATTCTGCAAGTTGATATGTGGACCTCTGTGAAGATTTCGTTGGAAACGGGTTCATCTTCACAGAAAAACTAAACAGAAGCTTTCTCAGAAACTGCTTTGTGATGTTTGTGTTCCACTTCAAGAAATTGAACTTTCCTCTTGACAGAGCAGCTCTGAAACCCTCTTTTTCTAGAATCTGCAAGTGGACATTTGGAGGGCTTTGAGGACTGTGGTGGAAAAGGAAAATCTTCACATAAAAACTAGATGGAAGCATTCTCAGAAACTACTCTGTGATGATTGCATTCGACTCACAGAGTTGAACATTCCTATAGATAGAGCAGGTTGTAAACAATCTTTTTGTAGAATCTGCGATTGGAGATTTGGACTGCTTTGAGGCCTACTGTAGTAAAGGAAATGACTTCATCTAAAAACCAAACGGAAGCATTCACAGACAATTCTTAGTGATCATTGCATTGAACTAACAGAGCTGAACAGTCCTTTAGATGGCGCAGTTTCCAAACACACTTTCTGTAGAATCTGCAAGTGGATATTTGGACCTCTCTGAGGATTTCGTTGGAAACGGGATAAACTTCCCAGAACTACACGGAAGCATTGTGAGAAACTTCTTTGTGATGTTTGCATTCAACTCACAGAGTTGAACCTTGCTTTCATAGTTCAGCTTTCAAACACTCTTTTTGTAGAATCTGCAAGTGGATATTTGGACCACTTTGTGGCCTTCCTTCGAAACGGGTATATCTTCACATCAAACCTAGACAGAAGCATTCTCAGAATGTTTCCTGTGATGACTGCATTCAACTCACAGAGGTGAACAATCCTGTTGATGGAGCACTTTTGAAACTCTCTTTCTTTGGATTCTGCAAGTTGATATGTGGACCTCTGTGAAGATTTCGTTGGAAACGGGTTCATCTTCACAGAAAAACTAAACAGAAGCATTCTCAGAAACTGCTTTGTGATGTTTGTGTTCCACTTCAGGAATTGAACTTTCCTCTTGACAGAGCAGCTCTGAAACCTTCTTTTTCTAGAATCTGCATGTGGACATTTGGAGGGTTTTGAGGCCTGTGGTGGAAAAGGAAAATCTTCACATAAAAACTAGATGGAAGCATTCTCAGAAACTACTTTGTGATGATTGCATTCGACTCACATAGTTGCATATTCCTATAGATAGAGCAGGTTGTAAATAATCTTTTTGTAGAATCTGCGATTGGAGATTTGGACTGCTTTGAGGCCTACTGTAGTAAAGGAAATAACTTCATCTAAAAACCAAACGGAAGCATTCACAGACAATGCTTAGTGATCATTGGATTAAACTAACAGAGCTGAACATTCCTTTAGATGGAGTAGTTTCCAAACCCACTTTCTGTAGAATCTGCAAGTGGATATTTGGACCTCTCTGAGGATTTCGTTGGAAACGGGATATACTTCCCAGAACTACACGGAAGTATTCTGAGAAACTTCTCTGTGATGTTTGCATTCAACTCACAGAGTTGAACCTTGCTTTCATAGTTCAGCTTTCAAACACTCTTTTTGTAGAATCTGCAAGTAGATATTTGGACCACTTTGTGGCCATCCTACGAAACGGGTATATCTTCACATCAAACCTAGACAGAAGCATTCTCAGAATGTTTCCTGTGATGACTGCATTCAACTCACAGAGGTGAACAATCCTGCTGATGGAGCAGTTTTGAAACTCTCTTTCTTTGGATTCTGCAAGTGGATATGTGGACCTCTGTGAAGATTTCGTTGGAAACGGGTTCATCTTCACAGAAAAACTAAACAGAAGCATTCTCAGAAACTGCTTTGTGATGTTTGTGTTCCACTTCAAGAATTGAACTTTCCTCTTGACAGAGCAGCTCTGAAACCCTCTTTTTCTAGAATCTGCAAGTGGACATTTGGAGGGCTTTGAGGCCTGTGGTGGAAAAGGAAAATCTTCCCATAAAAACTAGATGGAAGCATTCTCAGAAACTACTTTGTGATGATTGCATTCGACTCACAGAGTTGAACATTCCTATAGATAGAGCAGGTTGTAAACAATCTTTTTGTAGAATCTGCGATTGGAGATTTGGACTGCTTTGAGGCCTACTGTAGTAAAGGAAATAACTTCATCTGAAAACCAAACGGAAGCATTCACAGACAATTCTTAGTGATCATTGGATTGAACTAACAGAGCTGAACATTCCTTCAGATGGAGCAGTTTCCAAACACACTTTCTGTAGAATCTGCAAGTGGATATTTGGACTTCTCTGAGGATTTCGTTGGAAACGGGATAAACTTCCCAGAACTACATGGAAGCATTCTGATAAACTTCTTTGTGATGTTTGCATTCAACTCACAGAGTTGAACCTTGCTTTCATAGTTCAGCTTTCAAACACTCTTTTTGTAGAATCTGCAAGTGGATATTTGGACCACTTTGTGGCCTTCCTTCGAAACGGGTATATCTTCACATCAAACCTAGACAGAAGCAGTCTCAGAATGTTTCCTGTGATGACTGCATTCAACTCACAGATGTGAACAATCCTGTTGATGGAGCAGTTTTGAAACTCTCTTTCTTTGGATTCTGCAAGTGGATATGTGGACCTCTGTGAAGATTTCGTTGGAAACAAGTTCATCTTCACAGAAAAACTAAACAGGAGCATTCTCAGAAACTGCTTTGTGATGTTTGTGTTCCACTTCAGGAATTGAACTTTCCTCTTGATAGAGCAGCTCTGAAACCCCCTTTTCCTAGAATCTGCAAGTGGACATTTGGAGGGCTTTGAGGCCTGTGGTGGAAAAGGAAAATCTTCACATAAAAACTAGATGGAAGCATTCTCAGAAACTACTTTGTGATGATTGCTTTCGACTCACAGAGTTGAACATTCTTATAGATAGAGCAGGTTGTAAACAATCTTTTTGTAGAATCTGCGATTGGAGATTTGGACTGCTTTGAGGCCTACTGTAGTAAAGGAAATAACTTCATCTAAAAACCAAACGGAAGCATTCACAGACAATTCTTAGTGATCATTGGATTGAACTAACAGAGCTGAACATTCCTTTAGATGGCGCAGTTTCCAAACACACTTTCTGTAGAATCTGTAAGTGGATATTTGGACCTCTCCGAGGATTTCGTTGGAAACGGGATAAACTTCCCAGAACTACACGGAAGTATTCT
Source organism: Homo sapiens (assembly GCF_000001405.40). Lineage (NCBI taxonomy): Eukaryota > Metazoa > Chordata > Mammalia > Primates > Hominidae > Homo > Homo sapiens. The sequence continues at coordinate 52,682,614 of NC_000011.10, forward strand.
GAGAAACTTCTTTGTGATGTTTGCATTCAACTCACAGAGTTGAACCTTGCTTTCATAGTTCAGCTTTCAAACACTCTTTTTGTAGAATCTGCAAGTGGATATTTGGACCACTTTGTGGCCTTCCTTCGAAACGGGTATATCTTCACATCAAACCTAGACAGAAGCATTCTCAGAATGTTTCCTGTGATGACTGCATTCAACTCACAGAGGTGAACAATCCTGCTGATGGAGCAGTTTTGAAACTCTCTTTCTTTGGATTCTGCAAGTGGAAATGTGGACCTCTGTGAAGATTTCGTTGGAAACGGGTTCATCTTCACAGAAAAACTAAACAGAAGCATTCTCAGAAACTGCTTTGTGATGTTTGTGTTCCACTTCAAGAATTGAACTTTCCTCTTGACAGAGCAGCTCTGAAACCCTCTTTTTCTAGAATCTGCAAGTGGACATTTGGAGGGCTTTGAGGCCTGTGGTGGAAAAGGAAAATCTTCACATAAAAACTAGATGGAAGCATTCTCAGAAACTACTTTGTGATGATTGCATTCGACTCACAGAGTTGAACATTCCTATACATAGAGCAGGTTGTAAACAATCTTTTTGTAGAATCTGCGATTGGAGATTTGGACTGCTTTGAGGCCTACTGTAGTAAAGGAAATAACTTCATCTAAAAACCAAACGGAAGCATTCACAGACAATTCTTAGTGATCATTGGATTGAACTAACAGAGCTGAACATTCCTTTAGATGGAGCAGTTTCCAAACACACTTTCTGTAGAATCTGCAAGTGGATATTTGGACTTATCTGAGGATTTCGTTGGATAAGGGATAAACTTCCCAGAACTACAGGGAAGCATTCTGAGAAACTTCTTTGTGATGTTTGCATTCAACTCACAGATTTGAACCTTGCTTTCAAAGTTCAGCTTTCAAACACTCTTTTTGTAGAATCTGCAAGTGGATATTTGGACCACTTTGTGGCCTTCCTTCGAAAAGGGTATATCTTCACATCAAACCTAGACAGAAGCATTCTCAGAATGTTTCCTGTGATGACTGCATTCAACTCACAGAGGTGAACAATCCTGCTGATGGAGCAGTTTTGAAACTCTCTTTCTTTGGATTCTGCAAGTGGATATCTGGACCTCTGTGAAGATTTCGTTGGAAACGGGTTCATCTTCACAGAAAAACTAAACAGAAGCATTCTCAGAAACTGCTTTGTGATGTTTGTGTTCCACTTCAGGAATTGAACTTTCCTCTTGACAGAGCAGCTCTGAAACCCTCTTATTCTAGAATCTGCAAGTGGACATTTGGAGGGCTTTGAGGCCTGTGGTGGAAAAGGAAAATCTTCACATAAAAACTAGATGGAAGCATTCTCAGAAACTACTTTGTGATGATTGCATTCGACTCACAGAGTTGAACATTCCTATAGATAGAGCAGGTTGTAAACAATGTTTTTGTAGAATCTGCGATTGGAGATTTGGACTGCTTTGAGGCCTACTGTAGTAAAGGAAATAACTTCATCTAAAAACCAAACGGAAGCATTCACAGACAATTCTTAGTGATCATTGGATTGAACTAACAGAGGTGAACATTCCTTTAGTTGGAGCAGATTCCAAACACACTTTCTGTAGAATCTGCAACTGGATATTTGGACCTCTCTGAGGATTTCGTTGGAAACGGGATAAACTTCCCAGAACTACACGGAAGCATTCTGAGAAACTTCTTTGTGATGTTTGCATTCAACTCACAGGGTTGAACCTTGCTTTCATAGTTCAGCTTTCAAACACTCTTTTTGTAGAATCTGCAAGTGGATATTTGGACCACTTTGTGGCCTTCCTTCGAAACGGGTATATCTTCACATCAAACCTAGACAGAAGCATTCTCAGAATGTTTCCTGTGATGACTGCATTCAACTCATAGAGGTGAACAATCCTGTTGATGGAGCAGTTTTGAAACTCTCCTTCTTTGGATTCTGCAAGTGGATATGTGGACCTCTGTGAAGATTTCGTTGGAAACGGGTTCATCTTCACAGAAAAACTAAACAGAAGCATTCTCAGAAACTGCTTTGTGATGTTTGTGTTCCACTTCAAGAATTGAACTTTCCTCTTGACAGAGCAGCTCTGAAACCCTCTTTTTCTAGAATCTGCAAGTGGACATTTGGAGGGCTTTGAGGCCTGTGGTGGAAAAGGAAAATCTTCACATAAAAACTAGATGGAAGCATTCTCAGAAACTCCTTTGTGATGATTGCATTCGACTCACAGAGTTGAACATTCCTATAGATAGAGCAGGTTGTAAACAATCTTTTTGTAGAATCTGCGATTGGATATTTGGACTGCTTTGAGGCCTACTGTAGTAAAGGAAATAACTTCATCTAAAAACCAAACGGAAGCATTCACAGACAATTCTTAGTGATCATTGGATTGAACTAACAGAGCTGAACATTCCTTTAGATGGAGCAGTTTCCAAACCCACTTTCTGTAGAATCTGCAAGTGGATATTTGGACTTCTCTGAGGATTTCGTTGGAAACGGGATAAACTTCCCAGAACTACACGGAAGCATTCTGAGAAACTTCTTTGTGATGTTTGCATTCAACTCACAGAGTTGAAACTTGCTTTCATAGTTCAGCTTTCAAACACTCTTTTTGTAGAATCTGCAAGTGGATATTTGGACCACTTTGTGGCCTTCCTTCGAAACGGGTATATCTTCACATCAAACCTAGACAGAAGCATTCTCAGAATGTTTCCTGTGATGACTGCATTCAACTCACAGAGGTGAACAATCCTGCTGATGGAGCAGTGTTGAAACTCTCTTTCTTTGGATTCTGCAAGTGGATATGTGGACCTCTGTGAAGATTTCGTTGGAAACGGGTTCATCTTCACAGAAAAACTAAACAGGAGCATTCTCAGAAACTGCTTTGTGATGTTTGTGTTCCACTTGAAGAATTGAACTTTCCTCTTGACAGAGCAGCTCTGAAACCCTCTTTTTCTAGAATCTGCAAGTGGACAATTGGAGGGCTTTGAGGCCTGTAGTGGAAAAGGAAAATCTTCACATAAAAACTAGATGGAAGCATTCTCAGAAACTACTTTGCGATGATTGCATTTGACTCACAGAGTTGAACATTCCTATAGATAGAGCAGGTTGTAAACAATCTTTTTGTAGAATCTGCGATTGGAGATTTGGTCTGCTTTGAGGCCTACTGTAGTAAAGGAAAGAACTTCATCTAAAAACCAAACGGAAGCATTCACAGACAATTCTTAGTGATCATTGGATTGAACTAACAGAGCTGAACATTCCTTTAGATGGCGCAGTTTCCAAACACACTTTCTGTAGAATCTGCAAGTGGATATTTGGACCTCTCTGAGGATTTCGTTGGAAACGGGATAAACTTCCCAGAACTACACGGAAGCATTCTGAGAAACTTCTTTGTGATGTTTGCATTCAACTCACAGAGTTGAACCTTGCTTTCATAGTTCAGCTTTCAAACACTCTTTTTGTAGAATCTGCAAGTGGATATTTGGACCACTTTGTGGCCTTCCTTCGAAACGGGTATATCTTCACATCAAACCTAGAGAGAAGCATTCTCAGAATGTTTCCTGTGATGACTGCATTCAACTCACAGAGGTGAACAATCCTGTTGATGGAGCAGTTTTGAAACTCTCTTTCTTTGGATTCTGCAAGTTGATATGTGGACCTCTGTGAAGATTTCGTTGGAAACGGGTTCATCTTCACAGGAAAACTAAACAGAAGCATTCTCAGAAACTGCTTTGTGATGTTTGTGTTCCACTTCAGGAATTGAACTTTCCTCTTGACAGAGCAGCTCTGAAACCCTCTTTTTCTAGAATCTGCAAGTGGACATTTGGAGGGCTTTGAGGCCTGTGGTGGAAAAGGAAAATCTTCACATAAAAACTAGATGGAAGCATTCTCAGGAAACTACTTTGTGATGATTGCATTCGACTCACAGAGTTGAACATTCCTATAGATAGAGCAGGTTGTAAACAATCTTTTTGTAGAATCTGCGATTGGATATTTGGACTGTTTTGAGACCTACTGTAGTAAAGGAAATAACTTCATCTAAAAACCAAACGGAAGCATTCACAGACAATTCTTAGTGATCATTGGATTGAACTAACAGAGCTGAACATTCCTTTAGATGGAGCAGTTTCCAAACCCACTTTCTGTAGAATCTGCAAGTGGATATTTGGACTTCTCTGAGGATTTCGTTGGAAACGGGATAAACTTCCCAGAACTACACGGAAGCATTGTGAGAAACTTCTTTGTGATGTTTGCATTCAACTCACAGAGTTGAACCTTGCTTTCATAGTTCAGCTTTCAAACACTCCTTTTGTAGAATCTGCAAGTGGATATTTGGACCACTTTGTGGCCTTCCTTGGAAACGGGTATATCTTCACATCAAACCTAGACAGAAGCATTCTCAGAATGTTTCCTGTGATGACTGCATTCAACTCACAGAGGTGAACAATCCTGTTGATGGAGCAGTTTTGAAACTCTCTTTCTTCGGATTCTGCAAGTGGATATGTGGACCTCTGTGAAGATTTCGTTGGAAACGGGTTCATCTTCACAGAAAAACTAAACAGAAGCATTCTCAGAAACTGCTTTGTGATGTTTGTGTTCCACTTCAAGAATTGAACTTTTCTCTTGATAGAGGAGCTCTGAAACCCTCTTTTTCTAGAATCTGCAAGTGGACATTTGGAGGGCTTTGAGGCCTGTGGTGGAAAAGGAAAATCTTCACATAAAAACTGGATGGAAGCATTCTCAGAAACTACTTTGTGATGTTTGCATTCGACTCACAGAGTTGAACATTCCTATAGATAGAGCAGGTTGAAAACAATCTTTTTGTAGAATCTGCGATTGGAGATTTGGACTGCTTTGAGGCGTACTGTAGTAAAGGAAATAACTTCATCTAAAAACCAAACGGAAGCATTCACAGACAATTCTTAGTGATCATTGGATTGAGCTAACAGAGCTGAACATTCCTTTAGATGGAGCAGTTTCCAAACACACTTTCTGCAGAATCTGCAAGTGGATATTTGGACTTCTCTGAGGATTTCGTTGGAAACGGGATAAACTTCCCAGAACTACACGGAAGCATTCTGAGAAACTTCTTTGGATGTTTGCATTCAACTCACAGAGTTGAACCTTGCTTTCATAGTTCAGCTTTCAAACACTCTTTTTGAAGAATCTGCAAGTGGATACTTGGACCACTTTGTGGCCTTCCTTCGAAACGGGTATATCTTCACATCAAACCTAGACAGAAGCATTCTCAGAATGTTTCCTGTGATGACTGCATTCAACTCACAGAGGTGAGCAATCCTGCTGATGGAGCAGTTTTGAAACTCTCTTTCTTTGGATTCTGCAAGTGGATATGTGGACCTCTGTGAAGATTTCGTTGGAAACGGGTTCATCTTCACAGAAAAACTAAACAGGAGCATTCTCAGAAACTGCTTTGTGATGTTTGTGTTCCACTTCAAGAATTGAACTTTCCTCTTGACAGAGCACCTCTGAAACCCTCTTTTTCTAGAATCTGCAAGTGGACATTTGGAGGGCTTTGAGGCCTGTGGTGGAAAAGGAAAATCTTCACATAAAAACTAGATGGAAGCATTCTCAGAAACTACTTTGTGATGATTGCATTCGACTCACAGAGTTGAACATTCCTATAGATAGAGCAGGTTGTAAATAATCTTTTTGTAGAATCCGCGATTGGAGATTTGGACTGCTTTGAGGCCTACTGTAGTAAAGGAAATAACTTCATCTAAAACCCAAACGGAAGCATTCACAGACAATTCTTAGTGATCATTGCATTGAACTAACAGAGCTGAACATTCCTTTAGATGGCGCAGTTTCCAAACACACTTTCTGTAGAATCTGCAAGTGGATATTTGGACCTCTCTGAGGATTTCGTTGGAAACGGGATAAACTTCCCAGAACTACACGGAAGAATTGTGAGAAACTTCTTTGTGATGTTTGCATTCAACTCACAGTGTTGAACCTTGCTTTCATAGTTCAGCTTTCAAACACTCTTTTTGTAGAATCTGCAAGTGGATATTTGGACCACATTTGGCCTTCCTTCCAAACGGGTATATCTTCACATCAAACCTAGACAGAAGCATTCTCAGAATGTTTCCTGTGATGACTGCATTCAACTCACAGAGGTGAACAATCCTGCTGATGGAGCAGTTTTGAAACTCTCTTTCTTTGGATTCTGCAAGTGGATATGTGGACCTCTGTGAAGATTTCGTTGGAAACGGGTTCATCTTCACAGAAAAACTAAACAGAAGCATTCTCAGAAACTGCTTTGTGATGTTTGTGTTCCACTTCAAGAATTGAACTTTCCTCTTGACAGAGCAGCTCTGAAACCCTCTTTTTCTAGAATCTGCAAGTGGACATTTGGAGGGCTTTGAGGCCTGTGGTGGAAAAGGAAAATCTTCACATAAAAACTAGATGGAAGCATTCTCAGAAACTACTTTGTGATGATTGCATTCGACTCACAGAGTTGAACATTCCTATAGATAGAGCAGGTTGTAAACAATCTTTTTGTAGAATCTGCGATTGGAGATTTGGACTGCTTTAGGCCTACTGTAGTAAAGGAAATAACTTCATCTAAAAACCAAACGGAAGCATTCACAGACAATTCTTAGTGATCATTGGATTGAACTAACAGAGCTGAACATTCCTTTAGATGGAGCAGTTTCCAAACACACTTTCTGTAGAATCTGCAAGTGGATATTTGGACTTCTCTGAGGATTTCGTTGGAAACGGGATAAACTTCCCAGAACTACACGGAAGCATTCTGAGAAACTTCTTTGTGATGTTTGCATTCAACTCACAGAGTTGAACCCTGCTTTCATAGTTCAGCTTTCAAACACTCTTTTTGTAGAATCTGCAAGTGGATATTTGGACCACTTTGTGGCCTTCCTTCGAAACGGGTATATCTTCACATCAAACCTAGACAGAAGCATTCTCAGAATGTTTCCTGTGATGACTGCATTCAACTCACAGAGGTGAACAATCCTGCTGATGGAGCAGTTTTGAAACTCTCTTTCTTTGGATTCTGCAAGTGGATATGTGGACCTCTGTGAAGATTTCGTTGGAAACGGGTTCATCTTCACAGAAAAACTAAACAGGAGCATTCTCAGAAACTGCTTTGTGATGTTTGTGTTCCACTTCAAGAATTGAACTTTCCTCTTGACAGAGCAGCTCTGAAACCCTCTTATTCTAGAATCTGCAAGTGGACATTTGGAGGGCTTTGAGGCCTGTGGTGGAAAAGGAAAATCTTCACATAAAAACTAGATGGAAGCATTCTCAGAAACTACTTTGTGATGATTGCATTCGACTCACAGAGTTGAACATTCCTATACATAGAGCAGGTTGTAAACAATCTTTTTGTAGAATCTGCGATTGGAGATTTGGACTGCTTTGAGGCCTACTGTAGTAAAGGAAATAACTTCATCTAAAAACCAAACGGAAGCATTCACAGACAATTCTTAGTGATCATTGCATTGAACTAACAGAGCTGAACATTCCTTTAGATGGCGCAGTTTCCAAACACACTTTCTGTAGAATCTGCAAGTGGATATTTGGACCTCTCTGAGGATTTCGTTGGAAACGGGATAAACTTCCCAGAACTACACGGAAGCATGCTGAGAAACTTCTTTGTGATGTTTGCATTCAACTCACAGAGTTGAACCTTGCTTTCATAGTTCAGCTTTCAAACACTCTTTTTGTAGAATCTGCAAGTGGATATTTGGACCACTTTGTGGCCTTCCTTCGAAACGGGTATATCTTCACATCAAACCTAGACAGAAGCATTCTCAGAATGTTTCCTGTGATGACTGCATTCAACTCACAGAGGTGAACAATCCTGCTGATGGAGCAGTTTTGAAACTCTCTTTCTTTGGATTCTGCAAGTGGATATGTGGACCTCTGTGAAGATTTCGTTGGAAACGGGTTCATCTTCACAGAAAAACTAAACAGAAGCATTCTCAGAAACTGCTTTGTGATGTTTGTGTTCCACTTCAGGAATTGAACTTTCCTCTTGACAGAGCAGCTCTGAAACCCTCTTTTTCTAGAATCTGCATGTGGACATTTGGAGGGCTTTGAGGCCTGTGGTGGAAAAGGAAAATCTTCACATAAAAACTAGATGGAATCATTCTCAGAAACTACTTTGTGATGATTGCATTCGACTCACAGAGGTGAACATTCCTATAGATAGAGCAGGTTGTAAACAATCTTTTTGTAGAATCTGCGATTGGAGATTTGGACTGCTTTGAGGCCTACTGTAGTAAAGGAAATAACTTCATCTAAAAACCAAACGGAAGCATTCACAGACAATTCTTAGTGATCATTGGATTGAACTAACAGAGCTGAACATTCCTTTAGATGGAGCAGTTTCCAAACACACTTTCTGTAGAATCTGCAAGTGGATATTTGGACCTCTCTGAGGATTTCGTTGGAAACGGGATAAACTTCCCAGAACTACACGGAAGCATTGTGAGAAACTTCTTTGTGATGTTTGCATTCAACTCACAGAGTTGAACCTTGCTTTCATAGTTCAGCTTTCAAACACTCTTTTTGTAGAATCTGCAAGTGGATATTTGGACCACTTTGTGGCCTTCCTTCGAAACGGGTATATCTTCACATCAAACCTAGACAGAAGCATTCTCAGAATGTTTCCTGTGATGACTGCATTCAACTCACAGAGGTGAACAATCCTGTTGATGGAGCAGTTTTGAAACTCTCTTTCTTTGGATTCTGCAAGTGGATATGTGGACCTCTGTGAAGATTTCGTTGGAAACGGGTTCATCTTCACAGAAAAACTAAACAGAAGCATTCTCAGAAACTGCTTTGTGATGTTTGTGTTCCACTTCAGGAATTGAACTTTCCTCTTGACAGAGCAGCTCTGAAACCCTCTTATTCTAGAATCTGCAAGTGGACATTTGGAGGGCTTTGAGGCCTGTGGTGGAAAAGGAAAATCTTCACATAAAAACTAGATGGAAGCATTCTCAGAAACTACTTTGTGATGATTGCATTCGACTCACAGAGTTGAACATTCCTATAGATAGAGCAGGTTGTAAACAATCTTTTTGTAGAATCTTCGATTGGAGATTTGGACTGCTTTGAGGCCTACTGTAGTAAAGGAAATAACTTCACCTAAAAACCAAACGGAAGCATTCACAGACAATTCTTAGTGATCATTGGATTGAACTAACAGAGCTGAACATTCCTTTAGATGGAGCAGTTTCCAAACCCACTTTATGTAGAATCTGCAAGTGGATATTTGGACTTCTCTGAGGATTTCGTTGGAAACGGGATATGATTCCCAGAACTACAGGGAAGCATTCTGAGAAACTTCTTTGTGATGTTTGCATTCAACTCACAGAGTTGAACCTTGCTTTCATAGTTCAGCTTTCAAACACTCTTTTTGTAGAATCTGCAAGTGGATATTTGGACCACTTTGTGTCCTTCCTTCGAAACGGGTATATCTTCACATCAAACCTAGACAGAAGCATTCTCAGAATGTTTCCTGTGATGACTGCATTCAACTCACAGAGGTGAACAATCCTGTTGATGGAGCAGTTTTGAAACTCTCTTTCTTTGGATTCTGCAAGTGGATATGTGGACCTCTGTGAAGATTTCGTTGGAAACGGATTCATCTTAACAGAAAAACTAAACAGAAGCATTCTCAGAAACTGCTTTGTGATGTTTGTGTTCCACTTCAAGCAATTGAACTTTCCTCTTGACAGAGCAGCTCTGAAACCCTCTTTTTCTAGAATCTGCAAGTGGACATTTGGAGGGCTTTGAGGCCTGTGGTGGAAAAGGAAAATCTTCCCATAAAAACTAGATGGAAGCATTCTCAGAAACTACTTTGTGATGATTGCATTCGACTCACAGAGTTGAACATTCCTATAGATAGAGCAGGTTGTAAACAATCTTTTTGTAGAATCTGCGATTGGAGATTTGGACTGCTTTGAGGCCTACTGTAGTAAAGGAAATAACTTCATCTAAAAACCAAACGGAAGCATTCACAGACAATTCTTAGTGATCATTGGATCTCGAACTAACAGAGCTGAACATTCCTTTAGATGGAGCAGTTTCCAAACACACTTTCTGTAGAATCTGCAAGTGGATATTTGGACCTCTCTGAGGATTTCTTTGGAAACGGGATAAACTTCCCAGAACTACACGGAAGCATTGTGAGAAACTTCTTTGTGATGTTTGCATTCAACTCACAGAGTTGAACCTTGCTTTCATAGTTCAGCTTTCAAACACTCTTTTTGTAGAATCTGCAAGTGGATATTTGGACCACTTTGTGGCCTTCCTTCGAAACGGGTATATCTTCACATCAAACCTAGACAGAAGCATTCTCAGAATGTTTCCTGTGATGACTGCATTCAACTCACAGAGGTGAACAATCCTGTTTATGGAGCACTTTTGAAACTCTCTTTCTTTGGATTCTGCAAGTAGATATGTGGAACTCTGTGAAGATTTCGTTGGAAACGGGTTCATCTTCACAGAAAATCTAAACAGAAGCATTCCCAGAAACTGCTTTGTGATGTTTCTGTTCCACTTCAAGAATTGAACTTTCCTCTTGACAGAGCAGCTCTGAAACCCTCTTTTTCTAGAATCTGCAAGTGGACATTTGGAGGGCTTTGAGGCCTGTGGTGGAAAAGGAAAATCTTCACATAAAAACTAGATGGAAGCATTCTCAGAAACTACTTTGTGATGATTGCATTCGACTCACAGAGTTGAACATTCCTATAGATAGAGCAGGTTGTAAACAATCTTTTTGTAGAATCTGCGATTGGAGATTTGGACTGCTTTGAGGCCTACTGTAGTAAAGGAAATAACTTCATCTAAAAACCAAACGGAAGCATTCACAGACAATTCTTAGTGATCATTGGATTGAAATAACAGAGCTGAACATTCCTTTAGATGGAGCAGTTTCCAAACCCACTTTCTGTAGAATCTGCAAGTGGATATTTGGACTTCTCTGAGGATTTCTTTGGAAACGGGATAAACTTCCCAGAACTACACGGAAGCATTGTGAGAAACTTCTTTGTGATGTTTGCATTCAACTCACCGAGTTGAACCTTGCTTTCATAGTTCAGCTTTCAAACACTCTTTTTGTAGAATCTGCAAGTGGATATTTGGACCACTTTGTGGCCTTCCTTCGAAACGGGTATATCTTCACATCAAACCTAGACAGAAGCATTCTCAGAATGTTTCCTGTGATGACTGCATTCAACTCACAGAGGTGAAGAATCCTGCTGATGGAGCAGTTTTGAAACTCTCTTTCTTTGGATTCTGCAAGTGGATATGTGGACCTCTGTGAAGATTTCGTTGGAAACGGGTTCATCTTCACAGAAAAACTAAACAGGAGCATTCTCAGAAACTGCTTTTGTGATGTTTGTGTTCCACTTAAAGAATTGAACTTTCCTCTTGACAGAGCAGCTCTGAAACCCTCTTTTTCTAGAATCTGCAAGTGGACATTTGGAGGGCTCTGAGGCCTGTGGTGGAAAAGGAAAATCTTCACATAAAAACTAGATGGAAGCATTCTCAGAAACTACTTTGTGATGATTGCATTCGACTCACAGAGTTGAACATTCCTATAGATAGAGCAGGTTGTAAACAATGTTTTTGTAGAATCTGCGATTGGAGATTTGGATTGCTTTGAGGCCTACTGTAGTAAAGGAAATAACTTCATCTAAAAACCAAACGGAAGCATTCACAGACAATGCTTAGTGATTATTGGATTGAACTAACAGAGCTGAACATTCCTTTAGATGGAGCAGTTTCCAAACACACTTTCTGTAGAATCTGCAAGTGGATATTTGGACCTCTCTGAGGATTTCATTGGAAACGGGATAAATTTCCCAGAACTACACGGAAGCATTCTGAGAAACTTCTTTGTGATGTTTGCATTCAACTCACAGAGTTGAACCTTGCTTTCATAGTTCAGCTTTCAAACACTCTTTTTGTAGGATCTGCAAGTGGATATTTGACAACTTTGTGGCCTTCCTTCGAAACGGGTATATCTTCACATCAAACCTAGACAGAAGCATTCTCAGAATGTTTCCTGTGATGACTGCATTCAACTCACAGAGGTGAACAATCCTGTTGATGGAGCAGTTTTGAAACTCTCTTTCTTTGGATTCTGCAAGTGGATATGTGGACCTCTGTGAAGATTTCGTTGGAAACGGGTTCATCTTCACAGAAAAACTAAACAGGAGCGTTCTCAGAAACTGTTTTGTGATGTTTGTGTTCCACTTCAAGAATTGAACTTTCCTCTTGACAGAGCAGCTCTGAAACCCTCTTTTTCTAGAATCTGCAAGTGGACATTTGGAGGGCTTTGAGGCCTGTGGTGGAAAAGGAAAATCTTCCCATAAAAACTAGATGGAAGCATTCTCAGAAACTACTTTGTGATGATTGCATTCGACTCACAGAGTTGAACATTGCTATAGATAGAGCAGGATGTAAACAATCTTTTTGTAGAATCTGCGATTGGAGATTTGGACTGCTTGGAGGCCTACTGTAGTAAAGGAAATAACTTCATCTAAAAACCAAACGGAAGCATTCACAGACAATTCTTAGTGATCATTGCATTGAACTAACAGAGCTGAACATTCCTTTAGATGGAGCAGTTTCCAAACACACTTTCTGTAGAATCTGCAAGTGGATATTTGGACTTCTCTGAGGATTTCGTTGGAAACGGGATAAACTTCCCAGAACTACACGGAAGCATTCTGAGAAACTTCTTTGTGATGTTTGCATTCAACTCACAGAGTTGAACCTTGCTTTCATAGTTCAGCTTTCAAACACTCTTTTTGTAGAATCTGCAAGTGGATATTTGGACCACTTTGTGGCCTTCCTTCGAAACGGGTATATCTTCACATCAAACCTAGACAGAAGCATTCTCAGAATGTTTCCTGTGATGACTGCATTCAACTCACAGAGGTGAACAATCCTGCTGATGGAGCAGTTTTGAAACTCTCTTTCTTTGGATTCTGCAAGTGGATATGTAGACCTCTGTGAAGATTTCGTTGGAAACGGGTTCATCTTCACAGAAAAACTAAACAGAAGCATTCTCAGAAACTGCTTTGTGATGTTTGTGTTCCACTTCAAGAATTGAACTTTCTTCTTGACAGAGCAGCTCTGAAACCCTCTTTTTCTAGAATCTGCAAGTGGACATTTGGAGGGCTTTGAGGCCTGTGGTGGAAAAGGAAAATCTTCACATGAAAACTAGATGGAAGCATTCTCAGAAACTACTTTGTGATGATTGCATTCGACTCACAGAGTTGAACCTTCCTATAGATAGAGCAGGTTGAAAACAATCTTTTTGTAGAATCTGCGATTGGAGATTTGGACTGCTTTGAGGCCTACTGTAGTAAAGGAAATAACTTCATCTAAAAACCAAATGGAGGCATTCACAGACAATTCTTAGTGATCATTGGATTGAACTAACAGAGCTGAACATTCCCTAAGATGGCGCAGTTTCCAAACACACTTTCTGTAGAATCTGCAAGTGGATATTTGGACCTCTCTGAGGATTTCGTTGGAAACGGGATAAACTTCCCAGAACTACACGGAAGTATTCTGAGAAACATCTTTGTGATGTTTGCATTCAACTCACAGAGTTGAACCTTGCTTTCATAGTTCAGCTTTCAAACACTCTTTTTGTAGAATCTGCAAGTGGATATTTGGACCACTTTGTGGCCTTCCTTCGAAACGGGTATATCTTCACATCAAACCTAGACAGAAGCATTCTCAGAATGTTTCCTGTGATGACGGCATTCAACTCACAGAGGTGAACAATCGTGCTGATGGAGCAGTTTTGAAACTCCCTTTCTTTGGATTCTGCAAGTGGATATGTGGACCTCTGTGAAGATTTCGTTGGAAACGGGTTCATCTTCACAGAAAAACTAAACAGAAGCATTCTCAGAAACTGCTTTGTGATGTTTGTGTTCCACTTCAAGAATTGAACTTTCCTCTTGACAGAGCAGCTCTGAAACCCTCTTTTTCTAGAATCTGCAAGTGGACATTTGGAGGGCTTTGAGGCCTGTGGTGGAAAAGGAAAATCTTCCCATAAAAACTAGATGGAAGCATTCTCAGAAACTACTTTGTGATGATTGCATTCGACTCACAGAGTTGAACATTCCTATAGATAGGGCAGGTTGTAAACAATCTTTTTGTAGAATCTGCGATTGGAGATTTGGACTGCTTTGAGGCCTACTGTAGTAAAGGAAATAACTTCATCTAAAAACCAAACGGAAGCATTCACAGACAATTCTTAGTGATCATTGCATTGAACTAACAGAGCTGAACATTCCTTTAGATGGCGCAGTTTCCAAACACACTTTCTGTAGAATCTGCCAGTGGATATTTGGACCTCTCTCAGGATTTCGTTGGAAACGGGATAAACTTCCCAGAACTACACGGAAGCATTGTGAGAAACTTCTTTGTGATGTTTGCATTCAACTCACAGAGTTGAACCTTGCTTTCATAGTTCAGCTTTCAAACACTCTTTTTGTAGAATCTGCAAGTGGATATTTGGACCACTTTGTGGCCTTCCTTCGAAACGGGTATATCTTCACATCAAACCTAGACAGAAGCATTCTCAGAATGTTTCCTGTGATGACTGCATTCAACTCACAGAGGTGAACAATCCTGCTGATGGAGCAGTTTTGAAACTCTCTTTCTTTGGATTCTGCAAGTGGATATGTGGACCTCTGTGAAGATTTCGTTGGAAACGGGTTCATCTTCACAGAAAAACTAAACAGAAGCATTCTCAGAAACTGCTTTGTGATGTTTGTGTTCCACTTCAGGAATTGAACTTTCCTCTTGACAGAGCAGCTCTGAAACCCTCTTATTCTAGAATCTGCAAGTGGACATTTGGAGGGCTTTGAGGCCTGTGGTGGAAAAGGAAAATCTTCACATAAAAACTAGATGGAAGCATTCTCAGAAACTACTTTGTGATGATTGCATTCGACTCACAGAGTTGAACATTCCTATAGATAGAGCAGGTTGTAAACAATCTTTTTGTAGAATCTGCGATTGGAGATTTGGACTGCTTTGAGGCCTACTGTAGTAAAGGAAATAACTTCATCTAAAAACCAAACGGAAGCATTCACAGACAATTCTTAGTGATCATTGGATTGAACTAACAGAGCTGAACATTCCCTTAGATGGCACAGTTTCCAAACACACTTTCTGTAGAATCTGCAAGTGGATATTTGGACCTCTCTGAGGATTTCGTTGGAAACGGGATAAACTTCCAAGAACTACACGGAAGTATTCTGAGAAACTTCTTTGTGATGGTTGCATTCAACTCACAGGGTTGAACCTTGCTTTCATAGTTCAGCTTTCAAACACTCTTTTTGTAGAATCTGCAAGTGGATATTTGGACCACTTTGTGGCCTTCCTTCGAAACGGGTATATCTTCACATCAAACCTAGACAGAAGCATTCTCAGAATGTTTCCTGTGATGACTGCATTCAACTCACAGAGATGGACAATCCTGCTGATGGAGCAGTTTTGAAACTCTCTTTCTTTGGATTCTGCAAGTGGATATGTGGACCTCTGTGAAGATTTCGTTGGAAACGGGTTCATCTTCACAGAAAAACTAAACAGGAGCATTCTCAGAAACTGCTTTGTGATGTTTGTGTTCCACTTCAGGAATTGAACTTTCCTCTTGACAGGACAGCTCTGAAACCCTCTTTTTCTAGAATCTGCAAGTGGACATTTGGAGGGCTTTGAGGCCTGTGGTGGAAAAGGAAAATCTTCACATAAAAACTAGATGGAAGCATTCTCAGAAACTACTTTGTGATGATTGCATTCGACTCACAGTAGTTGAACATTCCTATAGATAGAGCAGGTTGTAAACAATCTTTTTGTAGAATCTGCGATTGGAGATTTGGACTGCTTTGAGGCATACTGTAGTAAAGGAAATAACTTCATCTAAAAACCAAACGGAAGCATTCACAGACAATTCTTAGTGATCATTGGATTGAACTAACAGAGCTGAACATTCCTTTAGATGGAGCAGTTTCCAAACACACTTTCTGTAGAATCTGCAAGTGGATATTTGGACTTCTCTGAGGATTTCGTTGGAAACGGGATAAACTTCCCAGAACTACACGGAAGCATTCTGAGAAACTTCTTTTTGATGTTTGCATTCAACTCACAGAGTTGAACCTTGCTTTCATAGTTCAGCTTTCAAACACTCTTTTTGTAGAATCTGCAAGTGGATATTTGGACCACTTTGTGGCCTTCCTTCGAAACGGGTATATCTTCACATCAAACCTAGACAGAAGCATTCTCAGAATGTTTCCTGTGATGACTGCATTCAACTCACAGAGGTGAACAATCCTGTTGATGGAGCACTTTTGAAACTCTCTTTCTTTGGATTCTGCAAGTTGATATGTGGACCTCTGTGAAGATTTCGTTGGAAACGGGTTCATCTTCACAGAAAAACTAAACAGAAGCATTCTCAGAAACTGCTTTGTGATGTTTGTGTTCCACTTCAAGAATTGAACTTTCCTCTTGACAGAGCAGCTCTGAAACCCTCTTTTTCTAGAATCTGCAAGTGGACATTTGGAGGGCTTTGAGGCCTGTGGTGGAAAAGGAAAATCTTCACATAAAAACTAGATGGAAGCATTCTCAGAAACTACTTTGTGATGATTGCATTCGACTCACAGAGTTGAACATTCCTATAGATAGAGCAGGTTGTAAACAATCTTTTTGTAGAATCTGCGATTGGAGATTTGGACTGCTTTGAGGCCTACTGTAGTAAAGGAAATAACTTCATCTAAAAATCAAACGGAAGCATTCACAGACAATTCTTAGTGATCATTGCATTGAACTAACAGAGCTGAACATTCCTTTAGATGGAGCAGTTTCCAAACACACTTTCTGTAGAATCTGCAAGTGGATATTTGGACCTCTCTGAGGATTTCGTTGGAAACGGGATAAACTTCCCAGAACTACACGGAAGCATTGTGAGAAACTTCTTTGTGATGTTTGCATTCAACTCACAGAGTTGAACCTTGCTTTCATAGTTCAGCTTTCAAACACTCTTTTTGTAGAATCTGCAAGTGGATATTTGGACCACTTTGTGGCCTTCCTTCGAAACGGGTATATCTTCACATCAAACCTAGACAGAAGCATTCTCAGAATGTTTCCTGTGATGACTGCATTCAACTCACAGAGGTGAACAATCCTGTTGATGGAGCAGTTTTGAAACTCTCTTTCTTTGGATTCTGCAAGTTGATATGTGGACCTCTGTGAAGATTTCGTTGGAAACGGGTTCATCTTCACAGAAAAACTAAACAGAAGCATTCTCAGAAACTGCTTTGTGATGTTTGTGTTCCACTTCAGGAATTGAACTTTCCTCTTGACAGAGCAGCTCTAAAACCCTCTTATTCTAGAATCTGCAAGTGGACATTTGGAGGGCTTTGAGGCCTGTGGTGGAAAAGGAAAATCTTCACATAAAAACTAGATGGAAGCATTCTCAGAAACTACTTTGTGATGATTGCATTCGACTCACAGAGTTGAACATTCCTATAGATAGAGCAGGTTGTAAACAATCTTTTTGTAGAATCTGCGATTGGAGATTTGGACTGCTTTGAGGCCTACTGTAGTAAAGGAAATAACTTCATCTAAAAACCAAACGGAAGCATTCACAGACAATTCTTAGTGATTATTGGATTGAACTAACAGAGCTGAACATTCCTTTAGATGGAGCAGTTTCCAAACCCACTTTCTGTAGAATCTGCAAGTGGATATTTGGACTTCTCTGAGGATTTCGTTGGAAACGGGCTAAACTTCCCAGAACTACACGGAAGCATTCTTAGAAACTTCTTTGTGATGTTTGCATTCAACTCACAGAGTTGAACCTTGCTTTCATAGTTCAGCTTTCAAACACTCTTTTTGTAGAATCTGCAAGTGGATATTTGGACCACTTTGTGGCCTTCCTTAGAAACGGGTATATCTTCACATCAAACCTAGACAGAAGCATTCTCAGAATGTTTCCTGTGATGACTGCATTCAACTCACAGAGGTGAACAATCCTGCTGTTGGAGCAGTTTTGAAACTCTCTTTCTTTGGATTCTGCAAGTGGATATGTGGACCTCTGTGAAGATTTCGTTGGAAACGGGTTCATCTTCACAGAAAAACTAAACAGGAGCATTCTCAGAAACTGCTTTGTGATGTTTGTGTTCCACTTCAAGAATTGAACTTTCCTCTTGACAGAGCAGCTCTGAAACCCTCTTTTTCTAGAATCTGCAAGTGGACATTTGGAGGGCTTTGAGGCCTGTGGTGGAAAAGGAAAATCTTCACATAAAAACTAGATGGAAGCATTCTCAGAAACTACTTTGTGATGATTGCATTCGACTCACAGAGTTGAACATTCCTATAGATAGAGCAGGTTGTAAACAATCTTTTTGTAGAATCTGCGATTGGAGATTTGGACTGCTTTGAGGCCTACTGTAGTAAAGGAAATAACTTCATCTAAAAACCAAACGGAAGCATTCACAGACAATTCTTAGTGATCATTGGATTGAACTAACAGAGCTGAACATTCCTTTAGATGGAGCAGTTTCCAAACACACTTTCTGTAGAATCTGCAAGTGGATATTTGGACCTCTCTGAGGATTTCGTTGGAAACGGGATAAACTTCCCAGAACTACACGGAAGCATTGTGAGAAACATCTTTGTGATGTTTGCATTCAACTCACAGAGTTGAACCTTGCTTTCATAGTTCAGCTTTCAAACACTCTTTTTGTAGAATCTGCAAGTTTATATTTGGACCACTTTGTGGCTTTCCTTTGAAACGGGTACATCTTCACATCAAACCTAGACAGAAGCATTCTCAGAATGTTCCCTTGATGACTGCATTCAACTCACAGAGGTGAACAATCCTGTTGATGGAGCACTTTTGAAACTCTTTTTCTTTGGATTCTGCAAGTTGATATGTGGACCTCTGTGAAGATTTCGTTGGAAACGGGTTCATCTTCACAGAAAAACTAAACAGGAGCATTCTCAGTAAACTGCTTTGTGATGTTTGTGTTCCACTTCAGGAATTGAACTTTCCTCTTGACAGAGCAGCTCTGCAACCCTCTTATTCTAGAATCTGCAAGTGGACATTTGGAGGGCTTTGAGGCCTGTGGTGGAAAAGGAAAATCTTCACATAAAAACTAGATGGAAGCATTATCAGAAACTACTTTGTGATGATTGCATTCGACCCACAGAGTTGAACATTCCTATAGATAGAGTAGGTTGTAAACAATCTTTTTGTAGAATCTGCGATTGGAGATTTGGACTCCTTTGAGGCCTACTGTAGTAAAGGAAATAACTTCATCTAAAAACCAAACGGAAGCATTCACAGACAATTCTTAGTGATCATTGGATTGAACTAACAGAGCTGAACATTCCCTTAGATGGCGCTGATTCCAAACACACTTTCTGTAGAATCTGCAAGTGGATATTTGGACCTCTCTGAGGATTTCGTTGGAAACGGGATAAACTTCCCAGAACTACACGGAAGCATTCTGAGAAACTTCTTTGTGATGTTTGCATTCAACTCACAGAGTTGAACCTTGCTTTCATAGTTCAGCTTTCAAACACTCTTTTTGTAGAATCTGCAAGTGGATATTTGGACCACTTTCTGGCCTTCCTTCGAAACGGGTATATCTTCACATCAAACCTAGACAGAAGCATTCTCAAGAATGTTTCCTGTGATGACTGCATTCAACTCACACAGGTGAACAATCCTGTTGATGGAGCAGTTTTGAAACTCTCTTTCTTTGGATTCTGCAAGTGGATATGTGGACCTCTGTGAAGATTTCGTTGGCAACGGGTTCATCTTCACAGGAAAACTATACAGGAGCATTCTCAGAAACTGCTTTGTGATGTTTGTGTTCCACTTGAAGAACTGAACTTTCCTTTTGACAGAGCAGCTCTGAAATCCTCTTTTTCTAGAATCTGCAAGTGGACATTTGGAGGGCTTTGAGGCCTGTGGTGGAAAAGGAAAATCTTCCCATAAAAACTAGATGGAAGCATTCTCAGAAACTACTTTGTGATGCTTGCATTCGACTCACAGAGTTGAACATTCCTATAGATAGAGCAGGTTGTAAACAATCTTTTTGTAGAATCTGCGATTGGAGATTTGGACTGCTTTGAGGCCTACTGTAGTAAAGGAAATAACTTCATCTAAAAACCAAACGGAAGCATTCACAGACAATTCTTAGTGATCAATGGATTGAACTAACAGAGCTGAACATTCCTTTAGATGGAGCAGTTTCCAAACACACTTTCTGTAGAATCTGCAAGTGGATATTAGGACTTCTCTGAGGATTTCGTTGGAAACGGGATAAACTTCCCAGAACTACACGGAAGCATTCTGAGAAACTTCTTTGTGATGTTTTCATTCAACTCACAGAGTTGAACCTTGCTTTCATAGTTCAGCTTTCAAACACTCTTTTTGTAGAATCTGCAAGTGGATATTTGTACCACTTTGTGGCCTTCCTTCGAAACGGGTATATCTTCACATCAAACCTAGACAGAAGCATTCTCAGAATGTTTCCTGTGATGACTGCATTCAACTCACAGAGGTGAACAATCCTGTTGATGGAGCAGTTTTGAAACTCTCTTTCTTTGGATTCTGCAAGTTGATATGTGGACCTCTGTGAAGATTTCATTGGAAACGGGTTCATCTTCACAGAAAAACTAAACAGAAGCATTCTCAGAAACTACTTTGTGATGTTTGTGTTCCACTTCAAGAATTGAACTTTCCTCTTGACAGAGCAGCTCTGAAACCCTCTTTTTCTAGAATCTGCAAGTGGACATTTGGAGGGCTTTGAGGCCTGTGGTGGAAAAGGAAAATCTTCACATAAAAACTAGATGGAAGCATTCTCAGAAACTACTTTGTGATGATTGCATTCGACTCACAGAGTTGAACATTCCTATAGATAGAGCAGGTTGTAAACAATCTTTTTGTAGAATCTGCGATTGGAGATTTGGACTGCTTTGAGGCCTACTGTAGTAAAGGAAATAACTTCATCTAAAAACCAAACGGAAGCATTCACAGACAATTCTTAGTGATCATTGCATTGAACTAACAGAGCTGAACATTCCTTTAGATGGCGCAGTTTCCAAACACACTTTCTGTAGAATCTGCAAGTGGATATTTGGACCTCTCTGAGGATTTCGTTGGAAACGGGATAAAATTCCCAGAACTACACGGAAGCATTGTGAGAAACTTCTTTGTGATGTTTGCATTCAACTCACAGAGTTGAACCTTGCTTTCATAGTTCAGCTTTCAAACACTCTTTTTGTAGAATCTGCAAGTGGATATTTGGACCACTTTGTGGCCTTCCTTCGAAACGGGTATATCTTCACATCAAACCTAGACAGAAGCATTCTCAGAATGTTTCCTGTGATGACTGCATTCAACTCACAGAGGTGAACAATCCTGTTGATGGAGCAGTTTTGAAACTCTCTTTCTTTGGATTCTGCAAGTGGATATGTGGACCTCTGTGAAGATTTCGTTGGAAACGGGTTCATCTTCACTGAAAAACTAAACAGGAGCATTCTCAGAAACTGCTTTGTGATGTTTGTGTTCCACTTCAGGAATTGAACTTTCCTCTTGACAGAGCAGCTCTGAAACCCTCTTTTTCTAGAATCTGCAAGTGGACATTTGGAGGGCTTTGAGGCCTGTGGTGGAAAAGGAAAATCTTCACATAAAATCTAGATGGAAGCATTCTCAGAAACTACTTTGTGATGATTGCATTCGACTCACAGAGTTGAACATTCCTATAGATAGAGCAGGTTGAAAACAATCTTTTTGTAGAATCTGCGATTGGAGATTTGGACTGCTTTGAGGCCTACTGTAGTAAAGGAAATAACTTCATCTAAAAACCAAACAGAAGCATTCACAGACAATTCTTAGTGATCATTGGATTGAACTAACAGAGCTGAACATTCCTTTAGATGGAGCAGTTTCCAAACACACTTTCTGTAGAATCTGCAAGTGGATATTTGGACCTCTCTGAGGATTTCTTTGGAAACGGGATAAACTTCCCAGAACTACACGGAAGAATTGTGAGAAACTTCTTTGTGATGTTTGCATTCAACTCACAGAGTTGAACCTTGCTTTCATAGTTCAGCTTTCAAACACTCTTTTTGTAGAATCTGCAAGTGGATATTTGGACCACTTTGTGGCCTTCCTTCGAAACGGGTATATCTTCACATCAAACCTAGACAGAAGCATTCTCAGAATGTTTCCTGTGATGACTGCATTCAACTCACAGAGGTGAACAATCCTGCTGATGGAGCAGTTTTGAAACTCTCTTTCTTTGGATTCTGCAAGTGGATATGTGGACCTCTGTGAAGATTTCGTTGGAAACGGTTTCATCTTCACAGAAAAACTAAACAGGAGCATTCTCAGAAACTGCTTTGTGATGTTTGTGTTCCACTTCAAGAATTGAACTTTCCTCTTGACAGAGCAGCTCTGAAACCCTCTTTTTCTAGAATCTGCAAGTGGACATTTGGAGGGCTTTGAGGCCTGTGGTGGAAAAGGAAAATCTTCCCATAAAAACTAGATGGAAGCATTCTCAGAAACTACTTTGTGATGATTGCATTCGACTCACAGAGTTGAACATTCCTATAGATAGAGCAGGTTGTAAACAATCTTTTTGTAGAATCTGCGATTGGAGATTTGGACTGCTTTGAGGCCTACTGTAGTAAAGGAAATAACTTCATCTAAAAACCAAACGGAAGCATTCACAGACAATTCTTAGTGATCATTGGATTGAACTAACAGAGCTGAACATTCCTTTAGATGGAGCAGTTTCCAAACCCACTTTCTGTAGAATCTGCAAGTGGATATTTGGACTTCTCTGAGGATTTCGTTGGAAACGGGATAAACTTCCCAGAACTACACGGAAGCATTGTGAGAAACTTCTTTGTGATGTTTGCATTCAACTCACAGAGTTGAACCTTGCTTTCATAGTTCAGCTTTCAAACACTCTTTTTGTAGAATCTGCAAGTGGATATTTGGACCACTTTGTGGCCTTCCTTCGAAACGGGTATATCTTCACATCAAACCTAGACAGAAGCATTCTCAGAATGTTTCCTGTGATGACTGCATTCAACTCACAGAGGTGAACAATCCTGCTGATGGAGCAGTTTTGAAACTCTCTTTCTTTAGATTCTGCAAGTGGATATGTTGAACTCTGTGAAGATTTCGTTGGAAACGGGTTCATCTTCACAGAAAAACTAAACAGGAGCATTCTCAGAAACTGCTTTGTGATGTTTGTGTTCCACTTCAAGAATTGAACTTTCCTCTTGACAGAGCAGCTCTGAAACCCTCTTTTTCTAGAATCTGCAAGTGGACATTTGGAGGGCTTTGAGGCCTGTGGTGGAAAAGGAAAATCTTCACATAAAAACTAGATGGAAGCATTCTCAGAAACTACTTTGTGATGATTGCATTCGACTCACAGAGTTGAACATTCCTATAGATAGAGCAGGTTGTAAACAATCTTTTTGTAGAATCTGCGATTGGAGATTTGGACTGCTTTGAGGCCTACTGTAGTAAAGGAAATAACTTCATCTAAAAACCAAACGGAAGCATTCACAGACAATTCTTAGTGATCATTGCATTGAACTAACAGAGCTGAACATTCCTTTAGATGGCGCAGTTTCCAAACACACTTTCTGTAGAATCTGCAAGTGGATATTTGGACCTCTCTGAGGATTTCGTTGGAAACGGGATAAACTTCCCAGAACTACACGGAAGCATGCTGAGAAACTTATTTGTGATGTTTGCATTCAACTCACAGAGTTGAACCTTGCTTTCATAGTTCAGCTTTCAAACACTCTTTTTGTAGAATCTGCAAGTGGATATTTGGACAACTTTGTGGCCTTCCTTCGAAACGGGTATATCTTCACATCAAACCTAGACAGAAGCATTCTCAGAATGTTTCCTGTGATGACTGCATTCAACTCACAGAGGTGAACAATCCTGCTGATGGAGCAGTTTTGAAACTCTCTTTCTTTGGATTCTGCAAGTGGATATGTGGACCTCTGTGAAGATTTCGTTGGAAACGGGTTCATCTTCACAGAAAAACTAAACAGGAGCATTCTCAGAAACTGCTTTGTGATGTTTGTGTTCCACATCAAGAATTGAACTTTCCTCTTGACAGAGCAGCTCTGATACCCTCTTTTTCTAGAATCTGCAAGTGGACATTTGGAGGGCTTTGAGGCCTGTGGTGCAAAAGGAAAATCTTCACATAAAAACTAGATGGAAGCATTCTCAGAAACTACTTTGTGATGATTGCATTCGACTCACAGAGGTGAACATTCCTATAGATAGAGCAGGTTGTAAACAATCTTTTTGTAGAATCTGCGATTGGAGATTTGGACTGCTTTGAGGCCTACTGTAGTAAAGGAAATAACTTCATATAAAAACCAAACGGAAGCATTCACAGACAATTCTTAGTGATCATTGCATTGAACTAACAGAGGTGAACATTCCTTTAGATGGCGCAGTTTCCAAACACACTTTCTGTACAATCTGCAGGTGGATATTTGGACCTCTCTGAGGATTTCGTTGGAAACGGGATAAACTTCCCAGAACCACACGGAAGCATTCTGAGAAACTTCTTTGTGATGTTTGCATTCAACTCACAGAGTTGAACCTTGCTTTCATAGTTCAGCTTTCAAACACTCTTTTTGCAGAATCTGCAAGTGGATATTTGGACCACCTTGTGGCCTTCCTTCGAAACGGGTATATCTTCACATCAAACCTAGACAGAAGCATTCTCAGAATGTTTCCTGTGATGACTGCATTCAACTCACAGAGGTGAAGAATCCTGTTGATGGAGCAGTTTTGAAACTCTCTTTCTTTGGATTCTGCAAGTGGATATGTGGACCTCTGGGAAGATTTCGTTGGAAACGGGTTCATCTTCACAGAAAAAATAAACAGGAGCATTCTCAGAAACTGCTTTGTGATGTTTGTGTTCCACTTCAAGAATTGAACTTTCCTCTGGACAGAGCAGCTCTGAAACCCTCTTTTTCTAGAATCTGCAAGTGGACATTTGGAGGGCTTTGAGGCCTGTGGTGGAAAAGGAAAATCTTCCCATAAAACTAGATGGAAGCATTCTCAGAAACTACTTTGTGATGATTGCATTCGACTCACAGAGTTGAACATTCCTATAGATAGAGCAGGTTGAAAACAATCTTTTTGTAGAATCTGCGATTGGAGATTTGGACTGCTTTGAGGCCTATTGTAGTAAAGGAAATAACTTCATCTAAAAACCAAACGGAAGCATTCACAGACAATTCTTAGTGATCATTGGATTGAACTAACAGAGCTGAACATTCCTTTAGATGGAGCAGTTTCCAAACACACTTTCTGTAGAATCTGCAAGTGGATATTTGGACTTCTCTGAGGATTTCCTTGGAAACGGGATAAACTTCCCAGAACTACAGGGAAGCATTCTGAGAATCTACTTTGTGATGATTGCATTCAGCTCACAGAGTTGAACCTTCCTTTCATAGTTCAGCTTTCAAACACTCTATTTGTAGAATCTGCAAGTGGATATTTGGACCACCTTGAGGCCTTCCTTCGAAACGGGTATATCTTCACATCAAACCTAGACAGAAGCATTCTCAGAATGTTTCCTGTGATGACTGCATTCAACTCACAGAGGTGAACAATCCTGCTGATGGAGCAGTTTTGAAACTCTCTTTCTTTGGATTCTGCAAGTGGATATGTGGACCTCTGTGAAGATTTCGTTGGAAACGGGTTCATCTTCACAGAAAAACTAAACAGGAGCATTCTCTGAAACTGCTTTGTGATGTTTGTGTTCCACTTCAAGAATTGAACTTTCCTCTTGACAGAGCAGCTCTGAAACCCTCTTTTTCTTGAATCTGCAAGTGGACATTTGGAGGGCTTTGAGGCCTGTGGTGGAAAAGGAAAATCTTCACATAAAAACTAGATGGAAGCATTCTCAGAAACTACTTTGTGATGATTGCATTCGACTCGCAGAGTTGAACATTCCTATAGATAGAGCAGGTTGTGAACAATGTTTTTGTAGAATCTGCGATTGGAGATTTGGACTGCTTTGAGGCCTACTGTAGTAAAGGAAATAACTTCATCTAAAAACCAAACGGAAGCATTCACAGACAATTCTTAGTGATCATTGCATTGAACTAACAGAGCTGAACATTCCTTTAGATGGCGCAGTTTCCAAACACACTTTCTGTAGAATCTGCAAGTGGATATTTGGACTTCTCTGAGGATTTCGTTGGAAACGGGATAAACTTCCCAGAACTACACGGAAGCATTGTGAGAAACTTCTTTGTGATGTTTGCATTCAACTCACAGAGTTGAACCTTGCTTTCATAGTTCAGCTTTCAAACACTCTTTTTGTAGAATCTGCAAGTGGATATTTGGACCACTTTGTGGCCTTCCTTCGAAACGGGTATATCTTCACATCAAACCTAGACAGAAGCATTCTCAGAATGTTTCCTGTGATGACTGCATTCAACTCACAGAGGTGAACAATCCTGCTGATGGAGCAGTTTTGAAACTCTCTTTCTTTGGATTCTGCAAGTGGATATGTGGACCTCTGTGAAGATTTCGTTGGAAACGGGTTCATCTTCACAGAAAAACTAAACAGGAGCATTCTCAGAAACTGCTTTGTGATGTTTGTGTTCCACTTTAGGAATTGAACTTTCCTCTTGACAGAGCAGCTCTGAAACCCTCTTTTTCTAGAATCTGCAAGTGGACATTTGGAGGGCTTTGAGGCCTGTGGTGGAAAAGGAAAATCTTCACATAAAAACTAGATGGAAGCATTCTCAGAAACTACTTTGTGATGATTGCATTCGACTCACAGAGTTGAACATTCCTATAGATAGAGCAGGTTGTAAACAATCTTTTTGTAGAATCTGCGATTCGAGATTTGGAATGCTTTGAGGCCTACTGCAGTAAAGGAAATAACTTCATCTAAAAACCAAACGGAAGCATTCACAGACAATTCTTAGTGATCATTTCATTGATCTAACAGAGCTGAACATTCCTTTAGATGGCGTAGTTTCCAAACAAACTTTCTGTAGAATCTGCAAGTGGATATTTGGACCTCTCCTGAGGATTTCGTTGGAAACGGGATAAACTTCTCAGAACTACACGGAAGCATGCTGAGGAAACTTCTTTGTGATGTTTGCATTCAACTCACAGAGTGGAACCTTGCTTTCATAGTTCAGCTTTCAAACACTCTTTTTGTAGAATCTGCAAGTGGATATTTGGACCACTTTGTGGCCTTCCTTCGAAACGGGTATATCTTCTCATCAAACCTAGACAGAAGCATTCTCAGAATGTTTCCTGTGATGACTGCATTCAACTCACAGAGGTGAACAATCCTGCTGATGGAGCAGTTTTGAAACTCTCTTTCTTTGGATTCTGCAAGTGGATATGTGGACCTCTGTGAAGATTTCGTTGGAAACGGGTTCATCTTCACAGAAAAACTAAACAGAAGCATTCTCAGAAACTGCTGTGTGATGTCTGTGTTCGACTTCAGGAATTGAACTTTCCTCTTGACAGAGCAGCTCTGAAACCCTCTTATTCTAGAATCTGCAAGTGGACATTTGGAGGGCTTTGAGGCCTGTGGTGGAAAAGGAAAATCTTCACATAAAAACTAGATGGAAGCATTCTCAGAAACTACTTTGTGATGATTGCATTCGACTCACACAGTTGAACATTCCTATAGATAGAGCAGGTTGTAAACAATCTTTTTGTAGAATCTGCGATTGGAAATTTGGACTGCTTTGAGGCCTACTGTAGTAAAGGAAATAACTTCATCTAAAAACCAAACGGAAGCATTCACAGACAATTCTTAGTGATCATTGGATTGAACTAACAGAGCTGAACATTCCCTTAGATGGTGCAGTTTCCAAACACACTTTCTGTAGAATCTGCAAGTGGATATTTGGACCACTCTGAGGATTTCGTTGGAAACGGGATAAACTTCCCAGAACTACACGGAAGCATGCTGAGAAACTTCTTTGTGATGTTTGCATTCAACTCACAGAGTTGAATCTTGCTTTCATAGTTCAGCTTTCAAACACTCTTTTTGTAGAATCTGCAAGTGGACATTTGGACCACTTTGTGGCCTTCCTTCGAAACGGGTATATCTTCACATCAAACCTAGACAGAAGCATTCTCAGAATGTTTCCTGTGATGACTGCATTCAACTCACAGAGGTGAACAATCCTGTTGATGGAGCAGTTTTGAAACTCTCTTTCTTTGGATTCTGCAAGTGGATATGTGGACCTCTGTGAAGATTTCGTTGGAAACGGGTTCATCTTCACAGGAAAATTAACAGAAGCATTCTCAGAAACTGCTTTGTGATGTTTGTGTTCCACTTCAGGAATTGAACTTTCCTCTTGACAGAGCAGCTCTGAAACCCTCTTATTCTAGAATCTGCAAGTGGACATTTGGAGGGCTTTGAGGCCTGTGGTGGAAAAGGAAAATCTTCACATAAAAACTAGATGGAAGCATTCTCAGAAACTACTTTGGGATGATTGCATTCGACTCACAGAGTTGAACATTCCTATAGATAGAGCAGGTTGTAAACAATCTTTTTGTAGAATCTGCGATTGGAGATTTGGACTGCTTTGAGGCCTACTGTAGTAAATTAAATAACTTCATCTAAAAACCAAACGGAAGCATTCACAGACAATTCTTAGTGATCATTGCATTGAACTAACAGAGCTGAACATTCCTTTAGATGGCGCAGTTTCCAAACACACTTTCTGTAGAATCTGCAAGTGGATATTTGGACCTCTCTGAGGATTTCGTTGGAAACGGGATAAACTTCCCAGAACTACACGGAAGCATTGTGAGAAACTTCTTTGTGATGTTTGCATTCAACTCACAGAGTTGAACCTTGCTTTCATAGTTCAGCTTTCAAACACTCTTTTTATAGAATCTGCAAGTGGATATTTGGACCACTTTGTGGCCTTCCTTCGAAACGGGTATATCTTCACATCAAACCTAGACAGAAGCATTCTCAGAATGTTTCCTGTGATGACTGCATTCAACTCACAGAGGTGAACAATCCTGCTGATGGAGCAGTTTTGAAACTCTCTTTCTTTGGATTCTGCAAGTGGATATGTGGACCTCTGTGAGGATTTCGTTGGAAACGGGTTCATCTTCACAGAAAAACTAAACAGGAGCATTCTCAGAAACTGCTTTGTGATGTTTGTGTTCCACTTCAAGAATTGAACTTTCCTCTTGACAGAGCAGCTCTGAAACCCTCTTTTTCTAGAATCTGCAAGTGGACATTTGGAGGGCTTTGAGGCCTGTGGTGGTAAAGGAAAATCTTCACATAAAAACTTTATGGAAGCATTCTCAGAAACTACTTTGTGATGATTGCATTCGACTCACAGAGTTGAACATTCCTATAGATAGAGCAGGTTGTAAACAATCTTTTTGTAGAATCTGCGATTGGAGATTTGGACTGCTTTGAGGCCTACTGTAGTAAAGGAAATAACTTCATCTAAAAACCAAACGGAAGCATTCACAGACAATTCTTAGTGATCATTGGATTGAACTAACAGAGCTGAACATTCCTTTAGATGGAGCAGTTTCCAAACACACTTTCTGTAGAATCTGCAAGTGGATATTTGGACCTCTCTGAGGATTTCGTTGGAAACGGGATAAACTTCCCAGAACTACACGGAAGCATTCTGAGAAACTTCTTTGTGATGTTTGCATTCAACTCACAGAGTTGAACCTTGCTTTCATAGTTCAGCTTTCAAACACTCTTTTTGTAGAATCTGCAAGTGGATATTTGGACCACTTTCTGGCCTTCCTTCGAAACGGGTATATCTTCACATCAAACCTAGACAGAAGCATTCTCAGAATGTTTCCTGTGATGACTGCATTCAACTCACAGAGGTGAACAATCCTGCTGATGGAGCAGTTTTGAAACTCTCTTTCTTTGGATTCTGCAAGAGGATATGTGGACCTCTGTGAAGATTTCGTTGGAAACCGGTTCATCTTCACAGAAAAACTAAACAGGAGCATTCTCAGAAACTGCTTTGTGATGTTTTTGTTCCACTTCAGGAATTGAACTTTCCTCTTGACAGAGCAGCTCTGAAACCCTCTTTTTCTAGAATCTGCAAGTGGACATTTGGAGGGCTTTGAGGCCTGTGGTGGAAAAGGAAAACCTTCACATAAAAACTAGATGGAAGCATTCTCAGAAACTACTTTGTGATGATTGCATTCGACTCACAGGGTTGAACATTCCTATAGATAGAGCAGGTTGTAAACAATCTTTTTGTAGAATCTGCGATTGGAGATTTGGACTGCTTTGAGGCCTACTGTAGTAAAGGAAATAACTTCATCTAAAAACCAAACGGAAGCATTCACAGACAATTCTTAGTGATCATTGCATTGAACTAACAGAGCTGAACATTCCTTTAGATGGCGCAGTTTCCAAACACACTTTCTGTAGCATCTGCAAGTGGATATTTGGACCTCTCTGAGGATTTCGTTGGAAACGGGATAAACTTCCCAGAACTACACGGAAGCATTCTGAGAAACTTCTTTGTGATGTTTGCATTCAACTCACAGAGTTGAACCTTGCTTTCATAGTTCAGCTTTCAAACACTCTTTTTGTAGAATCTGCAAGTGGATATTTGGACCACTTTGTGGCCTTCCTTCGAAACGGGTATATCTTCACATCAAACCTAGACAGAAGCATTCTCAGAATGTTTCCTGTGATGACTGCATTCAACTCACAGAGGTGAACAATCCTGCTGATGGAGCAGTTTTGAAACTCTCTTTCTTTGGATTCTGCAAGTGGATATGTGGACCTCTGTGAAGATTTCGTTGGAAACGGGTTCATCTTCACAGAAAAACTTAACAGGAGCATTCTCAGAAACTGCTTTGTGATGTTTGTGTTCCACTTCAGGAATTGAACTTTCCTCTTGACAGAGCAGCTCTGAAACCCTCTTATTCTAGAATCTGCAAGTGGACATTTGGAGGGCTTTGAGGCCTGTGGTGGAAAAGGAAAATCTTCACATAAAAACTAGATGGAAGCATTCTCAGAAACTACTTTGTGATGATTGCATTCGACTCACAGAGTTGAACATTCCTATAGATAGAGCAGGTTGTAAACAATCTTTTTGTAGAATCTGCGATTGGAGATTTGGACTGCTTTGAGGCCTACTGTAGTAAACGAAATAACTTCATCTAAAAACCAAACGGAAGCATTCACAGACAATTCTTAGTGATCATTGGATTGAACTAACAGAGCTGAACATTCCTTTAGATGGCGCAGTTTCCAAACACACTTTCTGTAGAATCTGCAAGTGGATATTTGGACCTCTCTGAGGATTTCGTTGGAAGCGGGATAAACTTCCCAGAACTACACGGAAGCATTCTGAGAAACTTCTTTGTGATGTTTGCATTCAACTCACAGAGTTGAACCTTGCTTTCATAGTTCAGCTTTCAAACACTCTTTTTGTAGAATCTGCAAGTGGATATTTGGACCACTTTGTGGCCTTCCTTCGAAACGGGTATATCTTCACATCAAACCTAGACAGAAGCATTCTCAGAATGTTTCCTGTGATGACTGCATTCAACTCACAGAGGTGAACAATCCTGCTGATGGAGCAGTTTTGAAACTCTCTTTCTTTGGATTCTGCAAGTGGATATGTTGAACTCTGTGAAGATTTCGTTGGAAACGGGTTCATCTTCACAGAAAAACTAAACAGAAGCATTCTCAGAAACTGCTTTGTGATGTTTGCGTTCCACTTCAGGAATTGAACTTTCCTCTTGACAGAGCAGCTCTGAAACCCTCTTTTTCTAGAATCTGCAAGTGGACATTTGGAGGGCTTTGAGGCCTGTGGTGGAAAAGGAAAATCTTCCCATAAAAACTAGATGGAAGCATTCTCAGAAACTACTTTGTGATGATTGCATTCGACTCACAGAGTTGAACATTCCTATAGATAGAGCAGGTTGTAAACAATCTTTTTGTAGAATCTGCGATTGGAGATTTGGACTGCTTTGAGGCCTACTGTAGTAAAGGAAATAACTTCATCTAAAAACCAAACGGAAGCATTCACAGACAATTCTTAGTGATCATGGCATTGAACTAACAGAGCTGAACATTCCTTTAGATGGCGCAGTTTCCAAACACACTTTCTGTAGAATCTGCAAGTGGATATTTGGACCTCTCTGAGGATTTCGTTGGAAACGGGATAAACTTCCCAGAACTACACGGAAGCATTGTGAGAAACTTCTTTGTGATGTTTGCATTCAACTCACAGAGTTGAACCTTGCTTTCATAGTTCAGCTTTCAAACACTCTTTTTGTAGAATCTGCAAGTGGATATTTGGACCACTTTGTGGCCTTCCTTCGAAACGGGTATATCTTCACATCAAACCTAGACAGAAGCATTCTCAGAATGTTTCCTGTGATGACTGCATTCAACTCACAGAGGTGAACAATCCTGCTGATGGAGCAGTTTTGAAACTCTCTTTCTTTGGATTCTGCAAGTGGATATTTGGACCTCTGTGAAGATTTCGTTGGAAACGGGTTCATCTTCACAGAAAAACTAAACAGAAGCATTCTCAGAAACTGCTTTGTGATGTTTGTGTTCCACTTCAGGAATTGAACTTTCCTCTTGACAGAGCAGCTCTGAAACCCTCTTATTCTAGAATCTGCAAGTGGACATTTGGAGGGCTTTGAGGCCTGTGGTGGAAAAGGAAAATCTTCACATAAAAACTAGATGGAAGCATTCTCAGAAACTACTTTGTGATGATTGCATTCGACTCACAGAGTTGAACATTCCTATAGATAGAGCAGGTTGTAAACAATCTTTTTGTAGAATCTGCGATTGGAGATTTGGACTGCTTTGAGGCCTACTGTAGTAAAGGAAATAACTTCATCTAAAAACCAAACGGAAGCATTCACAGACAATTCTTAGTGATCATTGGATTGAACTAACAGAGCTGAACATTCCTTTAGATGGAGCAGTTTCCAAACACACTTTCTGTAGAATCTGCAAGTGGATATTTGGACTTCTCTGAGGATTTCGTTGTAAAGGGGATAAACTTCCCAGAACTACAAGGAAGCATGCTGAGAAACTTCTTTGTGATGTTTGCATTCAACTCACAGAGTTGAACCTTGCTTTCATAGTTCAGCTTTCAAACACTCTTTTTGTAGAATCTGCAAGTGGATATTTGGACCACTTTGTGGCCTTCCTTCGAAACGGGTATATCTTCACATCAAACCTAGACAGAAGCATTCTCAGAATGTTTCCTGTGATGACTGCATTCAACTCACAGAGGTGAACAATCCTGTTGATGGAGCAGTTTTGAAACTCTCTTTCTTTGGATTCTGCAAGTGGATATGTGGACCTCTGTGAAGATTTCGTTGGAAACGGGTTCATCTTCACAGAAAAACTAAACAGAAGCATTCTCAGAAACTGCTTTGTGATGTTTGTGTTCCACTTCAGGAATTGAACTTTCCTCTTGACAGAGCAGCTCTGAAGCCCTCTTATTCTAGAATCTGCAAGTGGACATTTGGAGGGCTTTGAGGCCTGTGGTGGAAAAGGAAAATCTTCACATGAAAACTAGATGGAAGCATTCTCAGAAACTACTTTGCGATGATTGCATTCGACTCACAGAGTTGAACATTCCTATAGATAGAGCAGGTAGTAAACAATCTTTTTGTAGAATCTGCGAT
Source organism: Homo sapiens (assembly GCF_000001405.40). Lineage (NCBI taxonomy): Eukaryota > Metazoa > Chordata > Mammalia > Primates > Hominidae > Homo > Homo sapiens. The sequence goes on from NC_000011.10 coordinate 52,716,374, forward strand.
TGGAGATTTGGACTGCTTTAAGGCCTACTGTAGTAAAGGAAATAACTTCATCTAAAAACCAAACGGAAGCATTCACAGACAATTCTTAGTGATCATTGCATTGAACTAACAGAGCTGAACATTCCTGTAGATGGCGCAGTTTCCAAACACACTTTCTGTAGAATCTGCAAGTGGATATTTGGACCTCTCTGAGGATTTCGTTGGAAACGGGATAAACTTCCCAGAACTACACGGAAGCATTCTGAGAAACATCCTTGTGATGTTTTCATTCAACTCACAGAGTTGAACCTTGCTTTCATAGTTCAGCTTTCAAACACTCTTTTTGTAGAATCTGCAAGTGGATATTTGGACCACTTTGTGGCCTTCCTTCGAAACGGGTATATCTTCACATCAAACCTAGACAGAAGCATTCTCAGAATGTTTCCTGTGATGACTGCATTCAACTCACAGAGGTGAACAATCCTGCTGATGGAGCAGTTTTGAAACTCTCTTTCTTTGGATTCTGCAAGTGGATATGTGGACCTCTGTGAAGATTTCGTTGGAAACGGGTTCATCTTCACAGAAAAACTAAACAGAAGCATTCTCAGAAACTACTTTGTGATGTTTGTGTTCCACTTCAAGAATTGAACTTTCCTCTTGACAGAGCAGCTCTGAAACCCTCTTTTTCTAGAATCTGCAAGTGGACATTTGGAGGGCTTTGAGGCCTGTGGTGGAAAAGGAAAATCTTCACATAAAAACTAGATGGAAGCATTCTCAGAAACTACTTTGTGATGATTGCATTCGACTCACAGAGTTGAACATTCCTATAGATAGAGCAGGTTGTAAACAATCTTTTTGTAGAATCTGCGATTGGAGATTTGGACTGCTTTGAGGCCTACTGTAGTAAAGGAAATAACTTCATCTAAAAACCAAACGGAAGCATTCACAGACAATTCTTAGTGATCATTGGATTGAACTAACAGAGCTGAACATTCCTTTAGATGGAGCAGTTTCCAAACACACTTTCTGTAGAATCTGCAAGTGGATATTTGGACTTCTCTGAGGATTTCGTTGGAAACGGGATAAACTCCCCAGAACTACAGGGAAGCATTCTGAGAAACTTCTTTGTGATGTTTGCATTCAACTCACAGAGTTGAACCTTGCTTTCATAGTTCAGCTTTCAAACACTCTTTTTGTAGAATCTGCAAGTGGATATTTGGACCACTTTGTGGCCTTCCTTCGAAACGGGTATATCTTCACATCAAACCTAGACAGAAGCATTCTCAGAATGTTTCCTGTGATGACTGCATTCAACTCACAGAGGTGAACAATCCTGTTGATGGAGCAGTTTTGAAACTCTCTTTCTTTGGATTCTGCAAGTGGATATGTGGACCTCTGTGAAGATTTCGTTGGAAACGGGTTCATCTTCACAGAAAAACTAAACAGGAACATTCTCAGAAACTGCTTTGTGATGTTTGTGTTCCACTTCAAGAATTGAACTTTCCTCTTGACAGAGCAGCTCTGAAACCCTCTTTTTCTAGAATCTGCAAGTGGACATTTGGAGGGCTTTGAGGCCTGTGGTGGAAAAGGAAAATCTTCACATAAAAACTAGATGGAAGCATTCTCAGAAACTACTTTGTGATGATTGCATTCGACTCACAGAGTTGAACATTCCTATAGATAGAGCAGGTTGTAAACAATCTTTTTGTAGAATCTGCGATTGGAGATTTGGACTGCTTTGAGGCCTACTGTAGTAAAGGAAATAACTTCATCTAAAAACCAAACGGAAGCATTCACAGACAATTCTTAGTGATCATTGGATTGAACTAACAGAGCTGAACATTCCTTTAGATGGAGCAGTTTCCAAACACACTTTCTGTAGAATCTGCAAGTGGATATTTGGACTTCTCTGAGGATTTCGTTGGAAACGGGATAAACTTCCCAAACTACACGGAAGCATTCTGAGAAACTTCTTTGTGATGTTTGCATTCAACTCACAGAGTTGAACCTTGCTTTCATAGTTCAGCTTTCAAACACTCTTTTTGTAGAATCTGCAAGTGGATATTTGGACCACTTTGTGGCCTTCCTTCGAAACGTGTATATCTTCACATCAAACCTAGACAGAAGCATTCTCAGAATGTTTCCTGTGATGACTGCATTCAACTCACAGAGGTGAACAATCCTGCTGATGGAGCAGTTTTGAAACTCTCTTTCTTTGGATTCTGCAAGTGGATATGTGGACCTCTGTGAAGATTTCGTTGGAAACGGGTTCATCTTCACAGAAAAACTAAACAGAAGCATTCTCAGAAACTGCTTTGTGATGTTTGTGTTCCACTTCAAGAATTGAACTTTCCTCTTGACAGAGCAGCTCTGAAACCCTCTTTTTCTAGAATCTGCAAGTGGACATTTGGAGGGCTTTGAGGCCTGTGGTGGAAAAGGAAAATCTTCACATAAAAACTAGATGGAAGCATTCTCAGAAACTACTTTGTGATGATTGCATTCGACTCACAGAGTTGAACATTCCTATAGATAGAGCAGGTTGTAAACAATCTTTTTGTAGAATCTGCGATTGGAGATTTGGACTGCTTTGAGGCCTACTGTAGTAAAGGAAATAACTTCATCTAAAAACCAAACGGAAGCATTCACAGACAATTCTTAGTGATCATTGCATTGAACTAACAGAGCTGAACATTCCTTTAGATGGCGCAGTTTCCAAACACACTTTCTGTAGAATCTGCAAGTGGATATTTGGACCTCTCTGAGGATTTCGTTGGAAACGGGATAAACTTCCCAGAACTACACGGAAGCATTCTGAGAAACTTCTTTGTGATGTTTGCATTCAACTCACAGAGTTGAACCTTGCTTTCATAGTTCAGCTTTCAAACTCTCTTTTTGTAGAATCTACAGAAAGTGGATATTTGGACCACTTTGTGGCCTTCCTTCGAAACGGGTATATCTTCACATCAAACCTAGACAGAAGCATTCTCAGAATGTTTCCTGTGATGACTGCATTCAACTCACAGAGGTGAACAATCCTGCTGATGGAGCAGTTTTGAAACTCTCTTTCTTTGGATTCTGCAAGTGGATATGTGGACCTCTGTGAAGATTTCGTTGGAAACGGGTTCATCTTCACAGAAAAACTAAAAAGAAGCATTCTCAGAAACTGCTTTGTGATTATTGTGTTCCACTTCAGGAATTGAACTTTCCTCTTGACAGAGCAGCTCTGAAACCCTCTTATTCTAGAATCTGCAAGTGGACATTTGGAGGGCTTTGAGGCCAGTGGTGGAAAAGGAAAATCTTCACATAAAAACTAGATGGAAGCATTCTCAGAAACTACTTTGGGATGATTGCATTCGACTCACAGAGTTGAACATTCGTATAGATAGAGCAGGTTGTAAACAAGCTTTTTGTAGAATCTGCGATTGGAGATTTGGACTGCTTTGAGGCCTACTGTAGTAAAGGAAATAACTTCATCTAAAAACCAAACGGAAGCATTCACAGACAATTCTTAGTGATCATTGCATTGAACTAACAGAGCTGAACATTCCTTTAGATGGAGCAGTTTCCAAACACACTTTCTGTAGAATCTGCAAGTGGATATTTGGACTTCTCTGAGGATTTCGTTGGAAACGGGATAAACTTCCCAGAACTACACGGAAGCATTCTGAGAAACTTCTTTGTGATGTTTGCATTCAACTCACAGAGTTGAACCTTGCTTTCATAGTTCAGCTTTCAAACACTCTTTTTGTAGAATCTGCAAGTGGATATTTGGACCACTTTGTGGCCTTCCTTCGAAACGGGTATATCTTCACATCAAACCTAGACAGAAGCATTCTCAGAATGTTTCCTGTGATGACTGCATTCAACTCACAGAGGTGAACAATCCTGCTGATGGAGCAGTTTTGAAACTCTCTTTCTTTGGATTCTGCAAGTGGATTTGTGGACCTCTGTGAAGATTTCGTTGGAAAAGGGTTCATCTTCACAGAGAAACTAAACAGGAGCATTCTCAGAAACTGCTTTGTGATGTTTGTGTTCCACTTCAAGAATTGAACTTTCCTCTTGACAGAGCAGCTCTGAAACCCTCTTTTTCTAGAATCTGCAAGTGGACATTTGGAGGGCTTTGAGGCCTGTGGTGGAAAAGGAAAATCTTCACATAAAAACTAGATGGAAGCATTCTCAGAAACTACTTTGTGATGATTGCATTCGACTCACAGAGTTGAACATTCCTAAAGATAGAGCAGGTTGTAAACAATCTTTTTGTAGAATCTGCGATTGGAGATTTGGACTGCTTTGAGGCCTACTGTAGTAAAGGAAATAACTTCATCTAAAAACCAAACGGAAGCATTCACAGACAATTCTTAGTGATCATTGGATTGAACTAACAGAGCTGAACATTCCTTTAGATGGAGCAGTTTCCAAACACACTTTCTGTAGAATCTGCAAGTGGATATTTGGACTTCTCTGAGGATTTCGTTGGAAACGGGATAAACTTCCCAGAACTACACGGAAGCATTCTGAGAAACTTCTTTGTGATGTTTGCATTCAACTCACAGAGTTGAACCTTGCTTTCATAGTTCAGCTTTCAAACACTCTTTTTGTAGAATCTGCAAGTGGATATTTGGACCACTTTGTGGCCTTCCTTCGAAACGGGTATATCTTCACATCAAACCTAGACAGAAGCATTCTCAGAATGTTTCCTGTGATGACTGCATTCAACTCACACAGGTGAACAATCCTGTTGATGGAGCAGTTTTGAAACTCTCTTTCTTTGGATTCTGCAAGTTGATATGTGGACCTCTGTGAAGATTTCGTTGGAAACGGGTTCATCTTCACAGAAAAACTAAACAGAAGCATTCTCAGAAACTGCTTTGTGATGTTTGTGTTCCACTTCAGGAATTGAACTTTCCTCTTGACAGAGCAGCTCTGAAACCCTCTTATTCTAGAATCTGCAAGTGGACATTTGGAGGGCTTTGAGGCCTGTGGTGGAAAAGGGAAATCTTCACATAAAAACTAGATGGAAGCATTCTCAGAAACTACTTTGTGATGATTGCATTCGACTCACAGAGTTGAACATTCCTATAGATAGAGCAGGTTGTAAACAATCTTTTTGTAGAATCTGCGATTGGAGATTTGGACTGCATTGAGGCCTACTGTAGTAAAGGAAATAACTTCATCTAAAAACCAAACGGAAGCATTCACAGACAATTCTTAGTGATCATTGGATTGAACTAACAGAGCTGAACATTCCTTTAGATGGAGCAGTTTCCAAACCCACTTTCTGTAGAATCTGCAAGTGGATATTTGGACTTCTGTGAGGATTTCGTTGGAAAAGGGATAAACTTCCCAGAACTAGAGGGAAGCATTGTGAGAAACTTCTTTGTGATGTTTGCATTCAACTCACAGAGTTGAACCTTGCTTTCATAGTTCAGCTTTCAAACACTCTTTTTGTAGAATCTGCAAGTGGATATTTGGACCACTTTGTGGCCTTCCTTCGAAACGGGTATATCTTCACATCAAACCTAGACAGAAGCATTTTCAGAATGTTTCCTGTGATGACTGCATTCAACTCACAGAGGTGAACAATCCTGCTGAAGGAACAGTTTTGAAACTCTCTTTCTTTGGATTCTGCAAGTGGATATGAGGACCTCTCTGAAGATTTCGTTGGAAACGGGTTCATCTTCACAGAAAAACTAAACAGGAGCATTCTCAGAAACTGCTTCGTGATGTTTGTGTTCCTCTTCAAGAATTGAACTTTCCTCTTGACAGAGCAGCTCTGAAACCCTCTTTTTCTAGAATCTGCAAGTGGACATTTGGAGGGCTTTGAGGCCTGTGGTGGAAAAGGAAAATCTTCACATAAAAACTAGATGGAAGCATTCTCAGAAACTACTTTGTGATGATTGCATTCGACTCACAGAGTTGAACATTCCTATAGATAGAGCAGGTTGTAAACAATCTTTTTGTAGAATCTGCGATTGGAGATTTGGACTGCTTTGAGGCCTACTGTACTAAAGGAAATAACTTCATCTAAAAACCAAACGGAAGCATTCACAAACAATTCTTAGTGATCATTGCATTGAACTAACAGAGCTGAACATTCCTTTAGATGGAGCAGTTTCCAAACCCACTTTCTGTAGAATCTGCAAGTGGATATTTGGACTTCTCAGAGGATTTCGTTGGAAACGGGATAAACTTCCCAGAACTACACGGAAAGCATTCTGAGAAACTTCTTTGTGATGTTTGCATTCAACTCACAGAGTTGAACCTTGCTTTCATAGTTCAGCTTTCAAACACTCTTTTTGTAGAATCTGCAAGTGGATATTTGGACCACTTTGTGGCCTTCCTTCGAAACGGGTATATCTTCACATCAAACCTAGACAGAGCATTCTCAGAATGTTTCCTGTGATGACTGCATTCAACTCACAGAGGTGAACAATCCTGCTGATGGAGCAGTTTTGAAACTCTCTTTCTTTGGATTCTGCAAGTGGATATGTGGACCTCTGTGAAGATTTCGTTGGAAACGGGTTCATCTTCACAGAAAAACTAAACAGAAGCATTCTCAGAAACTGCTTTGTGATGTTTGTGTTCCACTTCAAGAATTGAACTTTCCTCTTGACAGAGCAGCTCTGAAACCCTCTTATTCTAGAATCTGCAAGTGGACATTTGGAGGGCTTTGAGGCCTGTGGTGGAAAAGGAAAATCTTCACATAAAAACTAGATGGAAGCATTCTCAGAAACTACTCTGTGATGATTGCATTCGACTCACAGAGTTGAACATTCCTATAGATAGAGCAGGTTGTAAACAATCTTTTTGAAGAATCTGCGATTGGAGATTTGGACTGCTTTGAGGCCTACTGCAGTAAAGGAAATAACATCATCTAAAAACCAAACGGAAGCATTCACAGACAATTCTTAGTGATCATTGGATTGAACTAACAGAGCTGAACATTCCTTTAGATGGAGCATTTTCCAAACACACTTTCTGTAGAATCTGCAAGTGGATATTTGGACTTCTCTGAGGATTTCGTTGGAAACGGAATAAACTTCCCAGAACTGCACGGAAGCATTGTGAGAAACTTCTTTGTGATGTTTGCATTCAACTCACAGAGTTGAACCTTGCTTTCATAGTTCAGCTTTCAAACACTCTTTTTGTAGAATCTGCAAGTGGATATTTGGACCACTTTGTGGCCTTCCTTCGAAACGGGTATATCTTCACATCAAACCTAGACAGAAGCATTCTCAGAATGTTTCCTGTGATGACTGCATTCAACTCACAGAGGTGAACAATCCTGCTGATGGAGCAGTTTTGAAACTCTCTTTCTTTGGATTCTGCAAGTGGATATGTGGACCTCTGTGAAGATTTCGTTGGAAACGGGTTCATCTTCACAGAAAAACTAAACAGGAGCATTCTCAGAAACTGCTTTGTGATGTTTGTGTTCCACTTCAAGAATTGAACTTTCCTCTTGACAGAGCAGCTCTGAAACCCTCTTTTTCTAGAATCTGCAAGTGGACATTTGGAGGGCTTTGAGGCCTGCGGTGGAAAAGGAAAATCTTCCCATAAAAACTAGATGGAAGCATTCTCAGAAACTACTTTGTGATGATTGCATTCGACTCACAGAGTTGAACATTCCTATAGATAGAGCAGGTTGTAAACAATCTTTTTGTAGAATCTTCGATTGGAGATTTGGACTGCTTTGAGGCCTACTGTAGTAAAGGAAATAACTTCACCTAAAAACCAAACGGAAGCATTCACAGACAATTCTTAGTGATCATTGGATTGAACTAACAGAGCTGAACATTCCTTTAGATGGAGCAGTTTCCAAACACACTTTCTGTAGAATCTGCAAGTGGATATTTGGACTTCTCTGAGGATTTCGTTGGAAACGGGATAAACTTCCCAGAACTACACGGAAGCATTGTGAGAAACTTCTTTGTGATGTTTGCATTCAACTCACACAGTTGAACCTTGCTTTCATAGTTCAGCTTTCAAACACTCTTTTTGTAGAATCTGCAAGTGGATATTTGGACCACTTTGTGGCCTTCCTTCGAAACGGGTATATCTTCACATCAAACCTAGACAGAAGCATTCTCAGAATGTTTCCTGTGATGACTGCATTCAACTCACAGAGGTGAACAATCCTGCTGATGGAGCAGTTTTGAAACTCTCTTTCTTTGGATTCTGCAAGTGGATATGTGGACCTCTGTGAAGATTTCGTTGGAAACGGGTTCATCTTCACAGAAAAACTAAACAGAAGCATTCTCAGAAACTGCTTTGTGATGTTTGTGTTCCACTTCAGGAATTGAACTTTCCTCTTGATAGAGCAGCTCTGAAAACCTCTTTTTCTAGAATCTGCAAGTGGACATTTGGAGGGTTTTGGGTCCTGTGGTGGAAAAGGAAATCTTCACATAAAAACTAGATGGAAGCATTCTCAGAAACTACTTTGTGATGATTGCATTCGACTCACAGAGTTGAACATTCCTATAGATAGAGCAGGTTGTAAACAATCTTTTTGTAGAATCTGCGATTGGAGATTTGGACTGCTTTGAGGCCTACTGTAGTAAAGGAAATAACGTCATCTAAAAACCAAACGGAAGCATTCACAGACAATTCTTAGTGATCATTGGATTGAACTAACAGAGCTGAACATTCCTTTAGATGGAGCAGTTTCCAAACACACTTTCTGTAGAATCTGCAAGTGGATATTTGGACTTCTCTGAGGATTTCGTTGGAAACGGGATAAACTTCCCAGAACTACACGGAAGCATTGTGAGAAACTTCTTTGTGATGTTTGCATTCAACTCACAGAGTTGAACCTTGCTTTCATAGTTCAGCTTTCAAACACTCTTTTTGTAGAATCTGCAAGTGGATATTTGGACCACTTTGTGGCCTTCCTTCGAAACGGGTATATCTTCACATCAAACCTAGACAGAAGCATTCTCAGAATGTTTCCTGTGATGACTGCATTCAACTCACAGAGGTGAACAATCCTGCTGATGGAGCAGTTTTGAAACTCTCTTTCTTTGGATTCTGCAAGTGGATATGTGGACCTCTGTGAAGATTTCGTTGGAAACGGGTTCATCTTCACAGAAAAACTAAACAGAAGCATTCTCAGCAAACTGCTTTGTGATGTTTGTGTTCCACTTCAAGAATTGAACTTTCCTCTTGACAGAGCAGCTCTGAAACCCTCTTTTTCTAGAATCTGCAAGTGGACATTTGGAGGGCTTTGAGGCCTGTGGTGGAAAAGGAAAATCTTCACATAAAAACTAGATGGAAGCATTCTCAGAAACTACTTTGTGATGATTGCATTCGACTCACAGAGTTGAACATTCCTATAGATAGAGCAGGTTGTAAACAATCTTTTTGTAGAATCTGCGATTGGAGATTTGGACTGCTTTGAGGCCTACTGTAGTAAAGGAAATAACTTCATCTAAAAACCAAACGGAAGCATTCACAGACAATTCTTAGTGATCATTGGATTGAACTAACAGAGCTGAAGATTCCTTTAGATGGCGCAGTTTCCAAACACACTTTCTGTAGAATCTGCAAGTGGATATTTGGACCTCTCTGAGGATTTCGTTGGAAACGGGATAAACTTCCCAGAACTACACGGAAGCATTCTGAGTAAATTCTTTGGAAGTTTGCATTCAACTCACAGAGTTGAACCTTGCTTTCATAGTTCAGCTTTCAAACACTCTTTATGTAGAATCTGCAAGTGGATATTTGGACCACTTTGTGGCCTTCCTTCGAAACGGGTATATCTTCACATCAAACCTAGACAGAAGCATTCTCAGAATGTTTTCTGTGATGACTGCATTCAACTCACAGACGTGAACAATCCTGTTGATGGAGCAGTTTTGAAACTCTCTTTCTTTGGATTCTGCATGTGGATATGTGGACCTCTGTGAAGATTTCGTTGGAAACGGGTTCATCTTCACAGAAAAACTAAACAGGAGCATTCTCAGAAACTGCTTTGTGATGTTTGTGTTCCACTTCAAGAATTGCACTTTCCTCTTGACAGAGCAGCTCTGAAACCCTCTTTTTCCAGAATCTGCAAGTGGACATTTGGAGGGCTTTGAGGCCTGTGGTGGAAAAGGAAAATCTTCACATAAGAACTAGATGGAAGCATTCTCAGAAACTACTTTGTGATGATTGCATTCGACTCACAGAGTTGAACATTCCTATACATAGAGCAGGTTGTAAACAATCTTTTTGTAGAATCTGCGATTGGAGATTTGGACTGCTTTGAGGCCTACTGTAGTAAAGGAAATAACTTCATCTAAAAACCAAACGGAAGCATTCACAGACAATTCTTAGTGATCATTGGATTGAACTAACAGAGCTGAACATGCCTTTAGATGGCGCAGTTTCCAAACACACTTTCTGTAGAATCTGCAAGTGGATATTTGGACCTCTCTGAGGATTTCGTTGGAAACGGGATAAACTTCCCAGAACTACACGGAAGCATTCTGAGAAACTTCTTCGTGATGTTTGCATTCAACTCACAGAGTTGAACCTTGGTTTCATAGTTCAGCTTTCAAACCCTCTTTTTGTAGAATCTGCAATTGGATATTTGGACCAATTTGTGGCCTTCCTTCGAAACGGGTATATCTTCACATTAAACCTAGACAGAAGCATTCTCAGAATGTTTCCTGTGATGACTGCATTCAACTCACAGAGGTGAACAATCCTGCTGTTGGAGCAGTTTTGAAACTCTCTTTCTTTGGATTCTGCAAGTGGATATGTGGAACTCTGTGAAGATTTCGTTGGAAACGGGTACATCTTCACAGAAAAACTAAACAGGAGCATTCTCAGAAACTGCTTTGTGATGTTTGTGTTCCACATCAAGAATTGAACTTTCCTCTTGACAGAGCAGCTCTGAAACCCTCTTTTTCTAGAATCTGCAAGTGGACATTTGGAGGGCTTTGAGGCCTGTGGTGCAAAAGGAAAATCTTCACATAAAAACTAGATGGAAGCATTCTCAGAAACTACTTTGTGATGATTGCATTCGACTCACAGAGTTGAACATTCCTATAGATAGAGCAGGTTGTAAACAATCTTTTTGTAGAATCTGCGATTGGAGATTTGGACTGCTTTGAGGCCTACTGTAGTAAAGGAAATAACTTCATCTAAAAACCAAACGGAAGCATTCACAGACAATTCTTAGTGATCATTCGATTGAACTAACAGAGCTGAACATTCCTTTAGATAGAGCAGTTTCCAAACACACTTTCTGTAGAATCTGCAAGTGGATATTTGGACTTCTCTGAGGATTTCGTTGGAAAGGGGATAAACTTCCCAGAACTACAGGGAAGCATGCTGAGAAACTTCTTTGTGATGTTTGCATTCAACTCACAGAGTTGAACCTTGCTTTCTTAGTTCAGCTTTCAAACACTCTTTTTGTAGAATCTGCAAGTGGATATTTGGACCACTTTGTGGCCTTCCTTCGAAACGGGTATATCTTCACATCAAACCTAGACAGAAGCATTCTCAGAATGTTTCCTGTGATGACTGCATTCAACTCACAGAGGTGAACAATCCTGCTGATGGAGCAGTTTTGAAACTCTCTTTCTTTGGATTCTGCAAGTGGATATGTGGACCTCTGTGAAGATTTCGTTGGAAACGGGTTCATCTTCACAGAAAAACTAAACAGGAGCATTCTCAGAAACTGCTTTGTGATGTTTGTGTTCCACTTCAAGAATTGAACTTTCCTCTTGACAGAGCAGCTCTGAAACCCTCTTTTTCTAGAAACTGCAAGTGGACATTTGGAGGGCTTAGAGGCCTGTGGTGGAAAAGGAAAATCTTCACATAAAAACTAGATGGAAGCATTCTCAGAAACTACTTTGTGATGATTGCATTCGACTCACAGTAGTTGAACATTCCTATAGATAGAGCAGGTTGTAAACAATGTTTTTGTAGAATCTGCGATTGGAGATTTGGACTGCTTTGAGGCCTACTGTAGTAAAGGAAATAAATTCATCTAAAAACCAAACGGAGACATTCAAAGACAATTCTTAGTGATCATTGGATTGAACTAACAGAGCTAAACATTCCTTTAGGTAGCGCAGTTTCCAAACTCACTCTCTGTAGAATCTGCAAGTGGATATTTGGACCTCTCTGAGGATTTCGTTGGAAACGGGATAAACTTCCCAGAACTACACGGAAGCATTCTGAGAAACTTCTTTGTGATGTTTGCATTCAACTCACAGAGTTGAACCTTGCTTTCATAGTTCAGCTTTCAAACACTCTTTTTGTAGAATCTGCAAGTGGATATTTGGACCACTTTGTGGCCTTCCTTCGAAACGGGTATATCTTCACATCAAACCTAGACAGAAGCATTCTCAGGATGTTTCCTGTGATGACTGCATTCAACTCACAGAGGTGAACAATCCTGCTGATGGAGCAGTTTTGAAACTCTCTTTCTTTGGATTCTGCAAGTTGATATGTGGACCTCTGTGAAGATTTCGTTGGAAACGGGTTCATCTTCACAGAAAAACTAAACAGAAGCATTCTCAGAAACTACTTTGTGATGTTTGTGTTCCACTTCAAGAATTGAACTTTCCTCTTGACAGAGCAGCTCTGAAACCCTCTTTTTCTAGAATCTGCAAGTGGACATTTGGAGGGCTTTGAGGCCTGTGGTGGAAAAGGAAAATCTTCACATAAAAACTAGATGGAAGCATTCTCAGAAACTACTTTGTGATGATTGCATTCGACTCACAGAGTTGAACATTCCTATAGATAGAGCAGGTTGAAAACAATCTTTTTGTAGAATCTGCGATTGGAGATTTGGACTGCTTTGAGGCCTACTGTAGTAAAGGAAATAACTTCATCTAAAAACCAAACGGAAGCATTCACAGACAATTCTTAGTGATCATTGCATTGAACTAACAGAGCTGAACATTCCTTTAGATGGAGCAGTTTCCAAACACACTTTCTGTAGAATCTGCAAGTGGATATTTGGACTTCTCTGAGGATTTCGTTGGAAACGGGATAAACGTCCCAGAACTACACGGAAGCATTCTGAGAAACTTCTTTGTGATGTTTGCATTCAACTCACAGAGTTGAACCTTGATTTCATAGTTCAGCTTTCAAACACTCTTTTTGTAGAATCTGCAAGTGGATATTTGGACCACTTTGTGGCCTTCCTTCGAAACGGGTATATCTTCACATCAAACCTAGACAGAAGCATTCTCAGAATGTTTCCTGTGATGACTGCATTCAACTCACAGAGGTGAACAATCCTGTTGATGGAGCAGTTTTGAAACTCTCTTTCTTTGGATTCTGCAAGTGGATATGTGGACCTCTGTGAAGATTTCGTTGGAAACGGGTTCATCTTCACAGAAAAACTAAACAGAGGCATTCTCAGAAACTGCTTTGTGATGTTTGTGTTCCACTTCAAGAATTGAGCTTTCCTCTTGACAGAGCAGCTCTGAAACCCTCTTTTTCTAGAATCTGCAAGTGGACATTTGGAGGGTTTTGAGGCCTGTGGTGGAAAAGGAAAATCTTCACATAAAAACTAGATGGAAGCATTCTCAGAAACTACTTTGGGATGATTGCATTAGACTCACAGACTTGAACCTTCCAATGGATAGAGCAGTTTGTAAACACTCTTTTTGTAGAATCTGTGATTGCTGATTTGGACTGCATTGAGGCCTACGGTACTAAAGGAAATAACTTCATCTAAAATCCAAACGGAAGCATTCACAGAAAATTCTTTGTGATGATTGGATTGAACTAAGAGTGCTGAACATTCCTTTAGATGACGCAGTTTCCAAACACACTTTCTGTAGAATCTGCAAGTGGATATTTGGACCTCTCTGAGGATTTCGTTGGAAACGGGATAACATTCCCAGAACTACACGGACGCATTCTGAGAAACTTCTTTGTGATGTTTGCATTCAAATCACAGAGTTGAACCTTGCTTTCATAATTCAGCTTTCAAACACTCTTTTTGTAGACTCTGGAAGTTGATATTTGGACCACTTTGTGGCCTTCCTTCGAAACGGGTATATCTTCACATCAAACCCAGACAGAAGCATTCTCAGAATGTTTCCTGTGATGACTGCATTCAACTCACAGAGGTGAACAATCCTGTTGATGGAGCAGTTTTGAAACTCTCTTTCTTTGGATTCTGCAAGTGGATATGTGGACCTCTGTGAAGATTTCGTTGGAAACGGGTTCATCTTCACAGAAAAACTAAACAGAAGCATTCTCAGAAACTGCTTTGTGATGTTTGTGTTCCACTTCAGGAATTGAACTTTCCTCTTGACAGAGCAGCTCTGAAACCCTCTTTTTCTAGAATCTGCAAGTGGACATTTGGAGGGCTTTGAGGCCTGTGGTGGAAAAGGAAAATCTTCACATAAAAACTAGATGGAAGCATTCTCAGAAACTCCTTTGTGATGATTGCATTCGACTCACAGAGTTGAACATTCCTATAGATAGAGCAGGTTGTAAACAATCTTTTTGTAGAATCTGCGATTGGAGATTTGGACTGCTTTGAGGCCTACTGTAGTAAAGGAAATAACTTCATCTAAAAAACAAACGGAAGCATTCACAGACAATTCTTAGTGATCATTGCATTGAACTAACAGAGCTGAACATTCCTTTAGATGGCGCAGTTTCCAAACACACTTTCTGTAGAATCTGCAAGTGGATATTTGGACCTTTCTAAGGATTTCGTTGGAAACGGGATAAAATTCCCAGAACTACACGGAAGCATTCTGAGAAACTTCTTTGTGATGTTTGCATTCAACTCACAGAGTTGAACCTTGCTTTCATAGTTCAGCTTTCAAACACTCTTTTTGTAGAATCTGCAAGTGGATATTTGGACCACTTTGTGGCCTTCCTTCGAAACGGGTATATCTTCACATCAAACCTAGACAGAAGCATTCTCAGAATGTTTCCTATGATGACTGCATTCAACTCACAGAGGTGAACAATCCTGCTGATGGAGCAGTTTTGAAACTCTCTTTCTTTGGATTCTGCAAGTGGATATCTGGACCTCTGTGAAGATTTCGTTGGAAACGTGTTAATCTTCACAGAAAAACTAAACAGAAGCATTCTCAGAAACTGCTTTGTGATGTTTGTGTTCCACTTCAGGAATTGAACTTTCCTCTTGACAGAGCAGCTCTGAAATCCTCTTATTCTAGAATCTGCAAGTGGACATTTGGAGGGCTTTGAGGCCTGTGGTGGAAAAGGAAAATCTTCACATAAAAACTAGATGGAAGCATTCTCAGAAACTACTTTGTGATGATTGCAACGACTCACAGAGTTGAACATTCCTATAGATAGAGCAGGTTGTAAACAATCTTTTTGTAGAATCTGCGATTGGAGATTTGGACTGCTTTGAGGCCTACTGTAGTAAAGGAAATAACTTCATCTAAAAACCAAACGGAGGCATTCACAGACAATTCTTAGTGATCATTGGATTGAACTAACAGAGCTGAACATTACTTTAGATGGCGCAGTTTCCAAACCCACTTTCTGTAGAATCTGCAAGTGGATATTTGGACTTCTCTGAGGATTTCGTTGGAAACGGGATAAACTTCCCAGAACTACAGGGAAGCATTCTGAGAAACTTCTTTGTGATGTTTGCATTCAACTCACAGTGTTGAAACTTGCTTTCATTGTTCAGCTTTCAAACACTCTTTTTGTAGAATCTGCAAGTGGATATTTGGACCACTTTGTGGCCTTCCTTCGAAACGGGTATATCTTCACATCAAACCTAGACAGAAGCATTCTCAGAATGTTTCCTGTGATGACTGCATTCAACTCACAGAGGTGAACAATCCTGCTGATGGAGCAGTTTTGAAACTCTCTTTCTTTGGATTCTGCAAGTGGATATGTGGACCTCTGTGAAGATTTCGTTGGAAACGGGTTCATCTTCAAAGAAAAACTAAACAGGAGCATTCTCAGAAACTGCTTTGTGATGTTTGTGTTCCACTTCAAGAATTGAACTTTCCTCTTGACAGAGCAGTTCTGAAACCCTCTTTTTCTAGAATCTGCAAGTGGACATTTGGAGGGCTTTGAGGCCTGTGGTGGAAAAGGAAAATCTTCACATAAAAACTAGATGGAAGCATTCTCAGAAACTACTTTGTGATGATTGCATTCGACTCACAGAGTTGAACATTCCTATAGATAGAGCAGGTTGTAAACAATCTTTTTGTAGAATCTGCGATTGGAGATTTGGACTGCTTTGAGGCCTACTGTAGTAAAGGAAATAACTTCATCTAAAAACCAAACGGAAGCATTCACAGACAATTCTTAGTGATCATTGGATTGAACTAACAGAGCTGAACATTCCTTTAGATGGAGCAGTTTCCAAACCCACTTTCTGTAGAATCTGCAAGTGGATATTTGGACTTCTCTGAGGATTTCGTTGGAAACGGGATAAACTTCCCAGAACTACACGGAGCATTCTGAGAAACTTCTTTGTGATGTTTGCATTCAACTCACAGAGTTGAACCTTGCTTTCATAGTTCAGCTTTCAAACACTCTTTTTGTAGAATCTGCAAGTGGATATTTGGACCACTTTGTGGCCTTCCTTCGAAACGGGTATATCTTCACATCAAACATTGACAGAAGCATTCTCAGAATGTTTCCTGTGATGACTGCATTCAACTCACAGAGGTGAACAATCCTGCTGATGGAGCAGTTTTGAAACTCTCTTTCTTTGGATTCTGCATGTGGATATGTGGACCTCTGTGAAGATTTCGTTGGAAACGGGTTCATCTTCACAGAAAAACTAAACAGAAGCATTCTCAGAAACTGCTTTGTGATGTTTGTGTTCCACTTCAAGAATTGAACTTTCCTCTTGACAGAGCAGCTCTGAAACCCTCTTTTTCTAGAATCTGCAAGTGGACATTTGGAGGGCTTTGAGGCCTGTGGTGGAAAAGGAAAATCTTCACATAAAAACTAGATGGAAGCATTCTCAGAAACTACTTTGTGATGATTGCATTCGACTCACATAGTTGAACATTCCTATAGATAGAGCAGGTTGTAAACAATCTTTTTGTAGAATCTGCGATTGGAGATTTGGACTGCTTTGAGGCCTACTGTAGTAAAGGAAATAACTTCATCTAAAAACCAAACGGAAGCATTCACAGACAATTCTTTGTGATGGTTGGTTTGAACTCAGAGAGCTGAACATTCCTTTAGATGGCGCAGTTTCCAAACACACTTTCTGTAGAATCTGCAAGTGGATATTTGGACCTCTCGGAAGATTTCGTTGGAAACGGGATAAACTTCCCAGAACTACACGGAAGCATTCTGAGAAACTTCTTTGTGATGTTTGCATTCAACTCACAGAGTTGAAACTTGCTTTCATAGTTCAGCTTTCAAACACTCTTTTTGTAGAATCTGCAAGTGGATATTTGGACCACTTTGTGGCCTTCCTTCGAAACGGGTATATCTTCACATCAAACCTAGACAGAAGCATTCTCAGAATGTTTCCTGTGATGACTGCATTCAACTCACAGAGGTGAACAATCCTGCTGATGGAGCAGTTTTGAAACTCTCTTTCTTTGGATTCTGCAAGTGGATATGTGGACCTCTGTGAAGATTTCGTTGGAAACGGGTTCATCTTCACAGAAAAACTAAACAGAAGCATTCTCAGAAACTGCTTTGTGATGTTTGTGTTCCACTTCAAGAATTGAACTTTCCTCTTGACAGAGCAGCTCTGAAACCCTCTTTTTCTAGAATCTGCAAGTGGACATTTGGAGGGCTTTGAGGCCTGTGGTGGAAAAGGAAAATCTTCACATAAAAACTAGATGGAAGCATTCTCAGAAACTACTTTGTGATGATTGCATTCGACTCACAGAGTTGAACATTCCTATAGATAGAGCAGGTTGTAAACAATCTTTTTGTAGAATCTGCGATTGGAGATTTGGACTGCTTTGAGGCATACTGTAGTAAAGGAAATAACTTCATCTAAAAACCAAACGGAAGCATTCACAGACAATTCTTAGTGATCATTGGATTGAACTAACAGAGCTGAACATTCCTTTAGATGGAGCAGTTTCCAAACACACTTTCTGTAGAATCTGCAAGTGGATATTTGGACTTCTCTGAGGATTTCGTTGGAAACGGGATAAACTTCCCAGAACTACAGGGAAGCATTCTGAGAAACTTCTTTGTGATGTTTGCATTCAACTCACAGAGTTGAACCTTGCTTTCATAGTTCAGCTTTCAAACACTCTTTTTGTAGAATCTGCAAGTGGATATTTGGACCACTTTGTGGCCTTCCTTCGAAACGGGTATATCTTCACATCAAACCTAGACAGAAGCATTCTCAGAATGTTTCCTGTGATGACTGCATTCAACTCACAGAGGTGAACAATCCCGCTGATGGAGCAGTTTTGAAACTCTCTTTCTTTGGATTCTGCAAGTGGATATGTGGACCTCTGTGAAGATTTCGTTGGAAACGGGTTCATCTTCACAGAAAAACTAAACAGAAGCATTCTCAGAAACTGCTTTGTGATGTTTGTGTTCCACTTCAGGAATTGAACTTTCCTCTTGACAGAGCAGCTCTGAAACCCTCTTATTCTAGAATCTGCAAGTGGACATTTGGAGGGCTTTGAGGCCTGTGGTGGAAAAGGAAAATCTTCACATAAAAACTAGATGGAAGCATTCTCAGAAACTACTTTGTGATGATTGCATTCGACTCACAGAGTTGAACATTCCTATAGATAGAGCAGGTTGTAAACAATCTTTTTGTAGAATCTGCGATTGGAGATTTGGACTGCTTTGAGGCCTACTGTAGTAAAGGAAATAACTTCATCTAAAAATCAAACGGAAGCATTCACAGACAATTCTTAGTGATCATTGCATTGATCTAACAGAGCTGAACATTCCTTTAGATGGCGTAGTTTCCAAACACACTTTCTGTAGAATCTGCAAGTGGATATTTGGACCTCTCTGAGGATTTCGTTGGAAAAGGGATAAACTTCCCAGAACTACACGGAAGCATTCTGAGAAACTTCTTTGTGATGTTTGCATTCAACTCACAGAGTTGAACCTTGCTTTCATAGTTCAGCTTTCAAACACTCTTTTTGTGGAATCTGCAAGTGGATATATGGACCACTTTGTGGCCTTCCTTTGAAACGGGTACATCTTCACATCAAACCTAGACAGAAGCATTCTCAGAATGTTTCCTGTGATGACTGCATTCAACTCACAGAGGTGAACAATCCTGTTGATGGAGCACTTTTGAAACTCTCTTTCTTTGGATTCTGCAAGTTGATATGTGGACCTCTGTGAAGATTTCGTTGGAAACGGGTTCATCTTCACAGAAAAACTAAACAGAAGCATTATCAGAAACTGCTTTGTGATGTTTGTGTTCCACTTCAGGAATTGTACTTTCCTCTTGACAGAGCAGCTCTGAAACCCTCTTATTCTAGAAACTGCAAGTGGACATTTGGAGGGCTTTGAGGCCTGTGGTGGAAAAGGAAAATCTTCACATAAAAACTAGATGGAAGCATTCTCAGAAACTACTTTGTGATGATTGCATTCGACTCACAGAGTTGAACATTCCTATAGATAGAGCAGGTTGTAAACAATCTTTTTGTAGAATCTGCGATTGGAGATTTGGACTGCTTTGAGGCCTACTGTAGTAAAGGAAATAACTTCATCTAAAAACCAAACGGAAGCATTCACAGACAATTCTTAGTGATCATTGGATTGAACTAACAGAGCTGAACATTCCTTTAGATGGAGCAGTTTCCAAACCCACTTTCTGTAGAATCTGCAAGTGGATATTTGGACTTCTCTGAGGATTTCGTTGGAAACGGGATAAACTTCCCAGAACTACACGGAAGCATTCTGAGAAACTTCTTTGTGATGTTTGCATTCAACTCACAGAGTTGAACCTTGCTTTCATAGTTCAGCTTTCAAACACTCTTTTTGTAGAATCTGCAAGTGGATATTTGGACCACTTTGTGGCCTTCCTTCGAAACGGGTATATCTTCACATCAAACCTAGACAGAAGCATTCTCAGAATGTTTCCTGTGATGACTGCATTCAACTCACAGAGGTGAACAATCCTGCTGATGGAGCAGTTTTGAAACTCTCTTTCTTTGGATTCTGCAAGTGGATATGTGGACCTCTGTGAAGATTTCGTTGGAAACGGGCTCATCTTCACAGAAAAACTAAACAGGAGCATTCTCAGAAACTGCTTTGCGATGTTTGTGTTCCACTTCAAGAATTGAACTTTCCTCTTGACAGAGCAGCTCTGAAACCCTCTTTTTCTAGAATCTGCAAGTGGACATTTGGAGGGCTTTGAGGCCTGTGGTGGAAAAGGAAACTCTTCATATAAAAACTAGATGGAAGCATTCTCAGAAACTACTTTGTGATGATTGCATTCGACTCACAGAGTTGAACATTCCTATAGATAGAGCAGGTTGTAAACAGTCTGTTTGTAGAATCTGCGATTGGAGATTTGGACTGCTTTGAGGCCTACTGTAGTAAAGGAAATAACTTCATCTAAAAACCAAACGGAAGCATTCACAGACAATTCTTAGTGATCATTGGATTGAACTAAGAGAGCTGAACATTCCTTTAGATGGAGCAGTTTCCAAACACACTTTCTGTAGAATCTGCAAGTGGATATTTGGACTTCTCTGAGGATTTCGTTGGAAACGGGATAAACTTCCCAGAACTACACGGAAGCATTGGGAGAAACTTCTTTGTGATGTTTGCATTCAACTCACAGAGTTGAACCTTGCTTTCATAGTTCAGCTTTCAAACACTCTTTTTGTAGAATCTGCAAGTGGATATATGGACCACTTTGTGGCCTTCCTTCGAAACGGGTATATCTTCACATCAAACCTTGACAGAAGCATTCTCAGAATGTTTCCTGTGATGACTGCATTCAACTCACAGAGGTGAACAATCCTGCTGATGGAGCAGTTTTGAAACTCTCTTTCTTTGGATTCTGCAAGTGGATATGTGGACCTCTGTGAAGATTTCGTTGGAAACGGGTTCATCTTCACAGAAAAACTAAACAGGAGCATTCTCAGAAACTGCATTATCATGTTTGTGTTCCACTTCAAGAGTTGAACTTTCCTCTTGACAGAGCAGCTCTGAAACCCTCTTTTTCTAGAATCTGCAAGTGGACATTTGGAGGGCTTTGAGGCCTGTGGTGGAAAATGAAAATCTTCACATAAAAACTAGATGGAAGCATTCTCAGAAACTACTTTGTGATGATTGCATTCGACTCACAGAGTTGAACATTCCTATAGATAGAGCAGGTTGTAAACAATCTTTTTGTAGAATCTGCGATTGGAGATTTGGACTGCTTTGAGGCCTACTGTAGTAAAGGAAATAACTTCATCTAAAAACCAAACGGAAGCATTCACAGACAATTCTTAGTGATCATTGCATTGAACTAACAGAGCTGAACATTCCTTTAGATGGCGCAGTTTCCAAACACACTTTCTGTAGAATCTGCAAGTGGATATTTGGACCTCTCTGAGGATTTCGTTGGAAACGGGATAAACTTCCCAGAACTACACGGAAGCATTCTGAGAAACTTCTTTGTGATGTTTGCATTCAATTCACAGAGTTGAACCTTGCTTTCATAGTTCACCTTTCAAACACTCTTTTTGTAGAATCTGCAAGTGGATATTTGGACCACTTTGTGGCCTTCCTTCAAAACGGGTGTATCTTCACATCAAACCTAGACAGAAGCATTCTCAGAATGTTTCCTGTGATAACTGCATTCAACTCACAGAGGTGAACAATCCTGTTGATGGAGCAGTTTTGAAACTCCCTTTCTTTGGATTCTGCAAGTGGATATGTGGAACTCTGTGAAGATTTCGTTGGAAACGGGTTCATCTTCACAGAAAAACTAAACAGGAGCATTCTCAGAAACTGCTTTGTGATGTTTGTGTTCCACTTCAAGAATTGAACTTTCCTCTTGACAGAGCAGCTCTGAAACCCTCTTTTTCTAGAATCTGCAAGTGGACATTTGGAGGGCTTTGAGGCCTGTGGTGGAAAAGGAAAATCTTCACATAAAAAATTGATGGAAGCATTCTCAGAAACTACTTTGTGATGATTGCATTCGACTCACAGAGTTGAACATTCCTATAGATAGAGCAGGTTGTAAACAATCTTTTGTAGAATCTGCGATTGGAGATTTGGACTGCTTTGAGGCCTACTGTAGTAAAGGAAATAACTTCATCTAAAAACCAAACGGAAGCATTCACAGACAATTCTTAGTGATCATTGCATTGAACTAACAGAGCTGAACATTGCTTTAGATGGCGCAGTTTCCAAACCCACTTTCTGTAGAATCTGCAAGTGGATATTTGGACCTCTCTGAGGATTTCGTTGGAAACGGGATAAACTTCCCAGAACTACACGGAAGCATTCTGAGAAACTTCTTTGTGATGTTTGCATTCAACTCACAGAGTTGAACCTTGCTTTCATAGTTCAGCTTTCAAACACTCTTTTTGTAGAATCTGCAAGTGGATATTTGGACCACTTTGTGGCCTTCCTTCGAAACGGGTATATCTTCACATCAAACCTAGACAGAAGCATTCTCAGAATGTTTCCTGTGATGACTGCATTCAACTCACAGAGGTGAACAATCCTGCTGATGGAGCAGTTTTGAAACTCTCTTTCTTTGGATTCTGCAAGTGGATATGTGGACCTCTGTGAAGATTTCGTTGGAAACGGGTTCATCTTCACAGAAAAACTAAACAGAAGCATTCTCAGAAACTGCTTTGTGATGTTTGTGTTCCACTTCAAGAATTGAACTTTGCTCTTGACAGAGCAGCTCTGAAACCCTCTTTTTCTAGAATCTGTAAGTGGACATTTGGAGGGCTTTGAGGACTGTGGTGGAAAAGGAAAATCTTCACATAAAAACTAGATGGAAGCATTCTCAGAAACTACTTTGTGATGATTGCATTCGACTCACAGAGTAGAACATTCCTATAGATAGAGCAGGTTGTAAACAATCTTTTTGTAGAATATGCGATTGGAGATTTGGACTGCTTTGAGGCCTACTGTAGTAACGGAAATAACTTCATCTAAAAACCAAACGGCAGCATTCACAGACAATTCTTAGTGATCATTGGATTGAACTAACAGAGCTGAACATTCCTGTAGATGGAACAGTTTCCAAACACACTTTCTGTAGAATCTGCAAGTGGATATTTGGACCTCTCTGAGGATTTCGTTGGAAACGGGATAAACTTCCCAGAACTACACGGAAGCATTCTGAGAAACTTCTTTGGATGTTTACATTCAACTCACAGAGTTGAACCTTGCTTTCATAGTTCAGCTTTCAAACACTCTTTTTGTAGAATCTGCAAGTGGATATTTGGACCACTTTGTGGCCTTCCTTCGAAACGGGTATATCTTCACATCAAACCTAGACAGAAGCATTCTCAGAATGTTTCCTGTGATGACTGCATTCAACTCACAGAGGTGAACAATCCTGCTGATGGAGCAGTTTTGAAACTCTCTTTCTTTGGATTCTGCAAGTGGATATGTGGACCTCTGTGAAGATTTCGTTGGAAACGGGTTCATCTTCACAGAAAAACTAAACAGAAGCATTCTCAGAAACTGCTTTGTGATGTTTGTGTTCCACTTCAAGAATTGAACTTTCCTCTTGACAGAGCAGCTCTGAAACCCTCTTTTTCTAGAATCTGCAAGTGGACATTTGGAGGGCTTTGAGGCCTGTGGTGGAAAAGGAAAATCTTCACATAAAAACTAGATGGAAGCATTCTGAGAATCTACTTTGTGATGATTGCATTCGACTCACAGAGTTGAACCTTCCAATGGAGAGAGCAGTTTTAAACACTCTTTTTGTAGAATCTGTGATTGCTGATTTGGACTGCATTGAGGCCTACGGTGCTAAAGGAAATAACTTCATCTAAAAACCAAACGGAAGCATTCACAGACAATTCTTTGTGATCATTGGATTGAACTAAGAGAGCTGAACATTCCTTTAGATGGCGCAGTTTCCAAACACACTTTCTGTAGAATCTGCAAGTGGATATTTGGACCTCTCTGAGGATTTCTTTGGAAAAGGGATAAACTTCCCAGAACTACACGGAAGCATTGTGAGAAACTTCTTTGTGATGTTTGCATTCAACTCACAGAGTTGAACCTTGCTTTCATAGTTCAGCTTTCAAACACTCTTTTTGTAGAATCTGCAAGTGGATATTTGGACCACTTTGTAGCCTTCCTTCGAAACGGGTATATCTTCACATCAAACCTAGACAGAAGCATTCTCAGAATGTTTCCTGTGATGACTGCATTCAACTCACAGAGGTGAACAATCCTGTTGATGGAGCAGTTTTGAAACTCTCTTTCTTTGGATTCTGCAAGTTGATATGTGGACCTATGTGAAGATTTCGTTGGAAACGGGTTCATCTTCACAGAAAAACTAAACAGAAGCATTCTCAGAAACTGCATTATCATGTTTGTGTTCCACTTCAAGAGTTGAACTTTCCTCTTGACAGAGCAGCTCTGAAACCCTCTTTTTCTAGAATCTGCAAGTGGACATTTGGAGGGCTTTGAGGCCTGTGGTGGAAAAGGAAAATCTTCACATAAAAACTTTATGGAAGCATTCTCAGAAACTACTTTGTGATGATTGCATTCGACTCACAGAGTTGAACATTCCTATAGATAGAGCAGGTTGTAAACAATCTTTTTGTAGAATCTGCGATTGGAGATTTGGACTGCTTTGAGGCCTACTGTAGTAAAGGAAATAACTTCATCTAAAAACCAAACGGAAGCATTCACAGACAATTCTTAGTGATCATTGCATTGAACTAACAGAGCTGAACATTCCTTTAGATGGCGCAGTTTCCAAACACACTTTCTGTAGAATCTGCAAGTGGATATTTGGACCTCTCTGAGGATTTCGTTGGAAACGGGATAAACTTCCCAGATCTACACGGAAGCATTCTGAGAAACTTCTTTGTGATGTTTGCATTCAACTCACAGAGTTGAACCTTGCTTTCATAGTTCAGCTTTCAAACACTCTTTTTGTAGAATCTGCAAGTGGATATTTGGACCACTTTGTGGCCTTCCTTCGAAACGGGTATATCTTCACATCAAACCTAGACAGAAGCATTCTCAGAATGTTTCCTGTGATGACTGCATTCAACTCACAGAGGTGAACAATCCTGCTGATGGAGCAGTTTTGAAACTCTCTTTCTTTGGATTCTGCAAGTGGATATGTGGACCTCTGTGAAGATTTCGTTGGAAACGGGTTCATCTTCACAGAAAAACTAAACAGAAGCATTCTCAGAAACTACTTTGTGATGTTTGTGTTCCACTTCAAGAATTGAACTTTCCTCTTGACAGAGCAGCTCTGAAACCCTCTTTTTCTAGAATCTGCAAGTGGACATTTGTAGGGCTTTGAGGCCTGTGGTGGAAAAGGAAAATCTTCACATAAAAACTAGATGGAAGCATTCTCAGAAACTACTTTGTGATGATTGCATTCGACTCACAGAGTTGAACATTCCTATAGGTAGAGCAGGTTGTAAACAATCTTTTTGTAGAATCTGCGATTGGAGATTTGGACTGCTTTGAGGCCTACTGTAGTAAAGGAAATAACTTCATCTAAAAACCAAACGGAAGCATTCACAGACAATTCTTAGTGATCATTGGATTGAACTAACAGAGCTGAACATTCCTTTAGATGGAGCAGTTTCCAAACACACTTTCTGTAGAATCTGCAAGTGGATATTTGGACTTCTCTGAGGATTTCGTTGGAAACGGGATAAACTTCCCAGAACTACAGGGAAGCAGCATTCTGAGAAACTTCTTTGTGATGTTTGCATTCAACTCAGAGAGTTGAACCTTGCTTTCATAGTTCAGCTTTCAAACACTCTTTTTGTAGAATCTGCAAGTGGATATTTGGACCACTTTCTGGGCTTGCTTCGAAACGGGTATATCTTCACATCAAACCTAGACAGAAGCATTCTCAGAATGTTTCCTGTGATGACTGCATTCAACTCACAGAGGTGAACAATCCTGCTGATGGAGCAGTTTTGAAACTCTCTTTCTTTGGATTCTGCAAGTGGATATGTGGACCTCTGTGAAGATTTCGTTGGAAACGGGTTCATCTTCACAGAAAAATTAAACAGAAGCATTCTCAGAAACTGCTTTGTGATGTTTGTGTTCCACTTCAAGAATTGAACTTTCCTCTTGACAGAGCAGCTCTGAAACCCTCTTTTTCTAGAATCTGCAAGTGGACATTTGGAGGGCTTTGAGGCCTGTGGTGGAAAAGGAAAATCTTCACATAAAAACTAGATGGAAGCATTCTCAGAAACTACTTTGTGATGATTGCATTCGACTCACAGAGTTGAACATTCCTATAGATAGAGCAGGTTGTAAACAATCTTTTTGTAGAATCTGCGATTGGAGATTTGGACTACTTTGAGGCCTACTGTAGTAAAGGAAATAACTTCATCTAAAAACCAAACGGAAGCATTCACAGACAATTCTTAGTGATCATTGCATTGAACTAACAGAGCTGAACATTCCTTTAGATGGCGCAGTTTCCAAACACACTTTCTGTAGAATCTGCAAGTGGATATTTGGACTTCTCTGAGGATTTCGTTGGAAACGGGATAAACTTCCCAGAACTACACGGAAGCATTGTGAGAAACTTCTTTGTGATGTTTTCATTCAACTCACAGAGTTGAACCTTGCTTTCATAGTTCAGCTTTCAAACACTCTTTTTGTAGAATCTGCAAGTGGATATTTGGACCACTTTGTGGTCTTCCTTCGAAACGGGTATATCTTCACATCAAACCTAGACAGAAGCATTCTCAGAATGTTTCCTGTGATGACTGCATTCAACTCACAGAGGTGAACAATCCTGCTGATGGAGCAGTTTTGAAACTCTCTTTCTTTGGATTCTGCAAGTGGATATGTGGACCTCTGTGAAGATTTCGTTGGAAACGGGTTCATCTTCACAGAAAAACTAAACAGAAGCATTCTCAGAAACTGCTTTGTGATGTTTGTGTTCCACTTCAGGAATTGAACTTTCCTCTTGACAGAGCAGCTCTAAAACCCTCTTATTCTAGAATCTGCAAGTGGACATTTGGAGGGCTTTGAGGCCTGTGGTGGAAAAGGAAAATCTTCACATAAAAACTAGATGGAAGCATTCTCAGAAACTACTTTGTGATGATTGCATTCGACTCACAGAGTTGAACATTCCTATAGATAGAGCAGGTTGTAAACAATCTTTTTGTAGAATCTGCGATTGGAGATTTGGACTGCTTTGAGGCCTACTGTAGTAAAGGAAATAACTTCATCTAAAAACCAAACGGAAGCATTCACAGACAATTCTTAGTGATCATTGGATTGAACTAACAGAGCTGAACATTCCTTTAGATGGAGCAGTTTGCAAACCCACTTTCTGTAGAATCTGCAAGTGGATATTTGGACTTCTCTGAGGATTTCGTTGGAAACGGGATAAACTTCCCAGAACTACAGGGAGCATTCTGAGGAAACTTCTTTGTGATGTTTGCATTCAACTCACAGAGTTGAACCTTGCTTTCATAGTTCAGCTTTCAAACACTCTTTTTGTAGAATCTGCAAGTGGATATTTGGACCACTTTGTGGCCTTCCTTCGAAACGGGTATATCTTCACATCAAACCTAGACAGAAGCATTCTCAGAATGTTTCCTGTGATGACTGCATTCAACTCACAGAGGTGAACAATCCTGCTGATGGAGCAGTTTTGAAACTCTCTTTCTTTGGATTCTGCAAGTGGATATGTGGACCTCTGTGAAGATTTCGTTGGAAACGGGTTCATCTTCACAGAAAAACTAAACAGAAGCATTCTCAGAAACTACTTTGTGATGTTTGTGTTCCACTTCAAGAATTGAACTTTCCTCTTGACAGAGCAGCTCTGAAACCCTCTTTTTCTAGAATCTGCAAGTGGACATTTGGAGGGCTTTGAGGCCTGTGGTGGAAAAGGAAAATCTTCACATAAAAACTAGATGGAAGCATTCTCAGAAACTACTTTGTGATGATTGCATTCGACTCACAGAGTTGAATATTCCTATAGATAGAGCAGGTTGTAAACAATCTTTTTGTAGAATCTGCGATTGGAGATTTGGACTGCTTTGAGGCCTACTGTAGTAAAGGAAATAACTTCATCTAAAAACCAAACGGAAGCATTCACAGACAATACTTTGTGATCATTGGATTGAACTAAGAGAGCTGAGCATTCCTTTAGATGGCGCAGTTTCCAAACACACTTTCTGTAGAATATGCAAGTGGATATTTGGACCTCTCTGAGGATTTCGTTGGAAACGGGATAAATTCCCAGAACTACACAGAAGCATTCTGAGAAACTTCTTTGTGATGGTTGCATTCAACTCACAGAGTTGAACCTTGCTTTCATAGTTCAGCTTTCAAACACTCTTTTTGTAGAATCTGCAAGTGGATATTTGGACCACTTTGTGGCCTTCCTTCGAAACGGGTATATCTTCACATCAAACCTAGACAGAAGCATTCTCAGAATGTTTCCTGTGATGACTGCATTCAACTCACAGAGGTGAACAATCCTGTTTATGGAGCAGTTTTGAAACTCTCTTTCTTTGGATTCTGCAAGTTGATATGTGGACCTCTGTGAAGATTTCGTTGGAAACGGGTTCATCTTCACAGAAAAACTAAACAGAAGTATTCTCAGAAACTGCTTTGTGATGTTTGCGTTCCACTTCAGGAACTGAACTTTCCTCTTGACAGAGCAGCTCTGAAACCCTCTTATTCTAGAATCTGCAAGTGGACATTTGGAGGGCTTTGAGGCCTGTGGTGGAAAAGGAAAATCTTCCCATACAAACTAGATGGAAGCATTCTCAGAAACTACTTTGTGATGATTGCATTCGACTCACAGAGTTGAACATTCCTATAGATAGAGCAGGTTGTAAACAATCTTTTTGTAGAATCTGCGATTGGAGATTTGGACTGCTTTGAGGCCTACTGTAGTAAAGGAAATAACTTCATCTAAAAACCAAACGGAAGCATTCACAGACAATTCTTAGTGATCATTGGATTGAACTAACAGAGCTGAACATTCCTTTAGATGGAGCAGTTTCCAAACACACTTTCTGTAGAATCTGCAACTGGATATTTGGACCTCTCTGAGGATTTCGTTGGAAACGGGATAAACTTCCCAGAACTACACGGAAGCATTGTGAGAATCATATTTCTGATGTTTGCATTCAACTCACAGAGTTGAACCTTGCTTTCATAGTTCAGCTTTCAAACACTCTTTTTGTAGAATCTGCAAGTGGATATTTGGACCACTTTGTGGCCTTCCTTTGAAACGGGTACATCTTCACATCAAACCTAGACAGAAGCATTCTCAGAATGTTTCCTGTGATGACTGCATTCAACTCACAGAGGTGAACAATCCTGTTGATGGAGCAGTTTTGAAACTCTCTTTCTTTGGATTCTGCAAGTTGATATGTGGACCTATGTGAAGATTTCGTTGGAAACGGGTTCATCTTCACAGAAAAACTAAACAGAAGCATTCTCAGAAACTGCTTTGTGATGTTTGTGTTCCACTTCAAGAATTGAACTTTCCTCTTGACAGAGCAGCTCTGAAACCCTCTTTTTCTAGAATCTGCAAGTGGACATTTGGAGGGCTTTGAGGCCTGTGGTGGAAAAGGAAAATCTTCACATAAAAACTAGATGGAAGCATTCTCAGAAACTACTTTGTGATGATTGCATTCGACTCACAGAGTTGAACATTCCTATAGATAGAGCAGGTTGTAAACAATCTTTTTGTAGAATCTGCGATTGGAGATTTGGACTGCTTTGAGGCCTACTGTAGTAAAGGAAATAACTTCATCTAAAAATCAAACGGAAGCATTCACAGACAATTCTTAGTGATCATTGCATTGAACTAACAGAGCTGAACATTCCTTTAGATGGCGCAGTTTCCAAACACACTTTCTGTAGAATCTGCAAGTGGATATTTGGACTTCTCTGAGGATTTCGTTGGAAACGGGATAAACTTCCCAGAACTACACGGAAGCATTGTGAGAAACTTCTTTGTGATGTTTGCATTCAACTCACAGAGTTGAACCTTGCTTTCATAGTTCAGCTTTCAAACACTCTTTTTGTAGAATCTGCAAGTGGATATTTGGACCACTTTGTGGCCTTCCTTCGAAACGGGTATATCTTCACATCAAACCTAGACAGAAGCATTCTCAGAATGTTTCCTGTGATGACTGCATTCAACTCACAGAGGTGAACAATCCTGCTGATGGAGCAGTTTTGAAACTCTCTTTCTTTGGATTGTGCAAGTGGATATGTGGACCTCTGTGTAGATTTCGTTGGAAACGGGTTCATCTTCACAGAAAAACTAAACAGGAGCATTCTCAGAAACTGCTTTGTGATGTTTGTGTTCCACTTCAGGAATTGAACTTTTCTCTTGAAAGAGCAGATCTGAAACCCTCTTTTTCTAGAATCTGCAAGTGGACATTTGGAGGGCTTTGAGGCCTGTGGTGGAAAAGGAAAATCTTCACATAAAAACTAGATGGAAGCATTCTCAGAAACTCCTTTGTGATGATTGCATTCGACTCACAGCAGTTGAACATTCCTATAGATAGAGCAGGTTGTAAACAATCTTTTTGTAGAATCTGCGATTGGAGATTTAGACTGCTTTGAGGCCTACTGTAGTAAAGGAAATAACTTCATCTAAAAACCAAACGGAAGCATTCACAGACAATTCTTAGTGATCATTGCATTGAACTAACAGAGCTGAACATTCCTTTAGATGGCGCAGTTTCCAAACACACTTTCTGTAGAATCTGCAAGTGGATATTTGGACTTCTCTGAGGATTTCGTTGGAAACGGGATAAACTTCCCAGAACTACACGGAAGCATTGTGAGAAACTTCTTTGTGATGTTTGCATTCAACTCACAGAGTTGAACCTTGCTTTCATAGTTCAGCTTTCAAACACTCTTTTTGTAGAATCTGCAAGTGGATATTTGGACCACTTTGTGGCCTTCCTTCGAAACGGGTATATCTTCACATCAAACCTAGACAGAAGCATTCTCAGAATATTTCCTGTGATGACTGCATTCAACTCACAGAGGTGAACAATCCTGTTGATGGAGCAGTTTTGAATCTCTCTTTCTTTGGATTCTGCAAGTGGATATGTGGACCTCTGTGAAGATTTCGTTGGAAACGGGTTCATTTTCACAGAAAAACTAAACAGAAGCATTCTCAGAAACTGCTTTGTGATGTTTGTGTTCCACTTCAAGAATTGAACTTTCCTCTTGACAGAGCAGCTCTGAAACCCTCTTTTTCTAGAATCTGCAAGTGGACATTTGGAGGGCTTTGAGGCCTGTGGTGGAAAAGGAAAATCTTCCCATAAAAACTAGATGGAAGCATTCTCAGAAACTACTTTGTGATGATTGCATTCGACTCACAGAGTTGAACATTCCTATAGATAGAGCAGGTTGTAAACAATGTTTTTGTAGAATCTGCGATTGGAGATTTGGACTGCTTTGAGGCCTACTGTAGTAAAGGAAATAACTTCATCTAAAAACCAAACGGAAGCATTCACAGACAATTCTTAGTGATCATTGGATTGAACTAACAGAGCTGAACATTCCTTTAGATGGAGCAGTTTCCAAACACACTTTCTGTAGAATCTGCAAGTGGATATTTGGACTTCTCTGAGGATTTCGTTGGAAACGGGATAAACTTCCCAGAACTACACGGAAGCATTGTGAGAAACTTCTTTGTGATGTTTGCATTCGACTCACAGAGTTGAACCTTGCTTTCATAGTTCAGCTTTCAAACACTCTTTTTGTAGAATCTGCAAGTGGATATTTGGACCACTTTGTGGCCTTCCTTCGAAACGGGTATATCTTCACATCAAACCTAGACAGAAGCATTCTCAGAATGTTTCCTGTGATGACTGCATTCAACTCACAGAGGTGAACAATCCTGCTGATGGAGCAGTTTTGAAACTCTCTTTCTTTGGATTCTGCAAGTGGATATGTGGACCTCTGTGAAGATTTCGTTGGAAACGGGTTCATCTTCACAGAAAAACTAAACAGGAGCATTCTCAGAAACTACTTTGTGATGTTTGTGTTCCACTTCAAGAATTGAACTTTCCTCTTGACAGAGCAGCTCTGAAACCCTCTTTTTCTAGAATCTGCAAGTGGACATTTGGAGGGCTTTGAGGCCTGTGGTGGAAAAGGAAAATCTTCACATAAAAACTAGATGGAAGCATTCTCAGAAACTACTTTGTGATGATTGCATTCGACTCACAGAGTTGAAAATTCCTATAGATAGACCAGGTTGTAAACAATCTTTTTGTAGAATCTGCGATTGGAGATTTGGACTGCTTTGAGGCCTACTGTAGTAAAGGAAATAACTTCATCTAAAAACCAAACGGAAGCATTCACTGACAATTCTTAGTGATCATTGGATTGAACTAACAGAGCTGAACATTCCTTTAGATGGAGCAGTTTCCAAACACACTTTCTGTAGAATCTGCAAGTGGATATTTGGACCTCTCTGAGGATTTCGTTGGAAACGGGATAAACTTCCCAGAACTACACGGAAGCATTGTGAGAAACTTCTTTGTGATGTTTGCATTCAACTCACAGAGTTGAACCTTGCTTTCATAGTTCAGCTTTCACACACTCTTTTTGTAGAATCTGCAAGTGGATATTTGGACCACTTTGTGGCCTTCCTTCGAAACGGGTATATCTTCACATGAAACCTAAACAGAAGCATTCTCAGAATGTTTCCTGTGATGACTGCATTCAACTCACAGAGGTGAACAATCCTGTGGATGGAGCAGTTTTGAAACTCTCTTTCTTTGGATTCTGCAAGTGGATATGTGGACCTCTGTGAAGATTTCGTTGGAAACGGGTTCATCTTCACAGGAAAACTAAACAGGAGCATTCTCAGAAACTGCTTTGTGATGTTTGTGTTCCACTTCAAGAATTGAACTTTCCTCTTGACAGAGCAGCTCTGAAACCCTCTTTTTCTAGAATCTGCAAGTGGACATTTGGAGGGCTTTGAGGCCTGTGGTGGAAAAGGAAAATCTTCACATAAAAACTAGATGGAAGCATTCTCAGAAACTACTTTGTGATGATTGCATTCGACTCATAGAGTTGAACATTCCTATAGATAGAGCAGGTTGTAAACAATCTTTCTGTAGAATCTGCGATTGGAGATTTGGACTTCTTTGAGGCCTACTGTAGTAAAGGAAATAACTTCATCTAAAAACCAAGCGGAAGCATTCACAGACAATACTTTGTGATCATTGGATTGAACTAAGAGAGCTGAACATTCCTTTAGATGGCGCAGTTTCCCAACACACTTTCTGTAGAATATGCAAGTGGATATTGGGACTTCTCTGAGGATTTCGTTGGAAAAGGGATAAATTCCCAGAACTACACAGAAGCATTCTGAGAAACTTCTTTGTGATGTTTGCATTCAACTCACAGGGTTGAACCTTGCTTTCATAGTTCAGCTTTCAAACACTCTTTTTGTAGAATCTGCAAGTGGATATTTGGACCACTTTGTGGCCTTCCTTCGAAACGGGTATATCTTCACATCAAACCTAGACAGAAGCATTCTCAGAATGTTTCCTGTGATGACTGCATTCAACTCACAGAGGTGAACAATCCTGCTGATGGAGCAGTTTTGAAACTCTCTTTCTTTGGATTCTGCAAGTGGATATGTGGACCTCTGTGAAGATTTCGTTGGAAACGGGTTCATCTTCACAGAAAAACTAAACAGGAGCATTCTCAGAAACTACTTTGTGATGTTTGTGTTCCACTTCAAGAATTGAACTTTCCTCTTGACAGAGCAGCTCTGAAACCCTCTTTTTCTAGAATCTGCAAGTGGACATTTGGAGGGCTTTGAGGCCTGTGGTGGAAAAGGAAAATCTTCACATAAAAACTAGATGGAAGCATTCTCAGAAACTACTTTGTGATGATTGCATTCGACTCACAGAGTTGAACATTCCTATAGATAGAGCAGGTTGTAAACAATCTTTTTGTAGAATCTGCGATTGGAGATTTGGACTGCTTTGAGGCCTACTGTAGTAAAGGAAATAACTTCATCTAAAAACCAAACGGAAGCATTCACAGACAATTCTTAGTGATCATTGGATTGAACTAACAGAACTGAACATTCCTTTAGATGGAGCAGTTTCTAAACACACTTTCTGTAGAATCTGCAAGTGGATATTTGGACTTCTCTGAGGATTTCGTTGGAAACGGGATAAACTTCCCAGAACTACAGGGAAGCATTGTGAGAAACTTCTTTGTGATGTTTGCATTCAACTCACAGAGTTGAACCTTGCTTTCATAGTTCAGCTTTCAAACACTCTTTTTGTAGAATCTGCAAGTGGATATTTGGACCACTTTGAGGCCTTCCTTCGAAACGGGTATATCTTCACATCAAACCTAGACAGAAGCATTCTCAGAATGTTTCCTGTGATGACTGCATTCAACTCACAGAGGTGAACAATCCTGCTGATGGAGCAGTTTTGAAACTCTCTTTCTTTGGATTCTGCAAGTGGATATGTGGACCTCTGTGAAGATTTCGTTGGAAACGGGTTCATCTTCACAGAAAAACTAAACAGGAGCATTCTCAGAAACTGCTTTGTGATGTTTGTGTTCCACTTCAAGAATTGAACTTTCCTCTTGACAGAGCAGCTCTGAAACCCTCTTTTTCTAGAATCTGCAAGTGGACATTTGGAGGGTTTGAGGCCTGTGGTGGAAAAGGAAAATCTTCACATAAAAACTAGATGGAAGCATTCTCAGAAACTACTGTGTGATGATTGCATTCGACTCACAGAGTTGAACATTCCTATAGATAGAGCAGGTTGTAAACAATCTTTTTGTAGAATCTGCGATTGGAGATTTGGACTGCTTTGAGGCATACTGTAGTAAAGGAAATAACTTCATCTAAAAACCAAACGGAAGCATTCACAGACAATTCTTAGTGATCATTGCATTGAACTAACAGAGCTGAACATTCCTTTAGATGGAGCAGTTTCCAAACACACTTTCTGTAGAATCCGCAAGTGGATATTTGGACCTCTCTGAGGATTTCGTTGGAAACGGGATAAAATTCCCAGAACTACACGGAAGCATTCTGAGAAACTTCTTTGTGATGTTTGCATTCAACTCACAGAGTTGAACCTTGCTTTCATAGTTCAGCTTTCAAACACTCTTTTTGTAGAATCTGCAAGTGGATATTTGGACCACTTTGTGGCCTTCCTTCGAAACGGGTATATCTTCACATCAAACTTAGACAGAAGCATTCTCAGAATGTTTCATGTGATGACTGCATTCAACTCACAGAGGTGAACAATCCTGTTGATGGAGCAGTTTTGAATCTCTCTTTCTTTGGATTCTGCAAGTGGATATGTGGACCTCTGTGAAGATTTCGTTGGAAACGGGTTCATCTTCACAGAAAAACTAAACAGAAGCATTCTCAGAAACTGCTTTGTGATGTTTGTGTTCCACTTCAGGAATTGAACCTTCCTCTTGACAGAGCAGCTCTGAAACCCTCTTATTCTAGAATCTGCAAGTAGACATTTGGAGGGCTTTGAGGCCTGTGGTGGAAAAGGAAAATCTTCATATAAAAACTAGATGGAAGCATTCTCAGAAACTACTTTGTGATGATTGCATTCGACTCACAGAGTTGAACATTCCTATAGATAGAGCAGGTTGTAAACAATCTTTTTGTAGAATCTGCGATTGGAGATTTGGACTGCTTTGAGGCCTACTGTAGTAAAGGAAATAACTTCATCTAAAAACCAAACGGAAGCATTCACAGACAATTCTTAGTGATCATTGGATTGAACTAACAGAGCTGAACATTCCTTTAGATGGCGCAGTTTCCAAACACACTTTCTGTAGAATCTGCAAGTGGATATTTGGACCTCTCTGAGGATTTCGTTGGAAACGGGATAAACTTCCCAGAACTACACGGAAGCATTGTGAGAAACTTCTTTGTGATGTTTGCATTCAACTCACAGAGTTGAACCTTGCTTTCATAGTTCAGCTTTCAAACACTCCTTTTGTAGAATCTGCAAGTGGATATTTGGACCACTTTGTGGCCTTCCTTGGAAACGGGTATATCTTCACATCAAACCTAGACAGAAGCATTCTCAGAATGTTTCCTGTGATGACTGCATTCAACTCACAGAGGTGAACAATCCTGCTGATGGAGCAGTTTTGAAACTCTCTTTCTTTGGATTCTGCAAGTGGATATGTGGACCTCTGTGAAGATTTCGTTGGAAACGGGTTCATCTTCACAGAAAAACTAAACAGAAGCATTCTCAGAAACTGCTTTGTGATGTTTGTGTTCCACTTCAAGAATTGAACTTTCCTCTTGACAGAGCAGCTCTGAAACCCTCTTTTTCTAGAATCTGCAAGTGGACATTTGGAGGGCTTTGAGGCCTGTGGTGGAAAAGGAAAATCTTCACATAAAAACTAGATGGAAGCATTCTCAGAAACTTCTTTGTGATGATTGCATTCGACTCACAGAGTTGAACATTCCTATAGATAGAGCAGGTTGTAAACAATCTTTTTGTAGAATCTGCGATTGGAGATTTGGACTGCTTTGAGGCCTTCTGTAGTAAAGGAAATTACTTCATCTAAAAACCAAACGGAAGCATTCACAGACAATTCTTAGTGATCATTGGATTGAACTAACAGAGCTGAACATTCCTTTAGATGGAGCAGTTTCCAAACCCACTTTCTGTAGAATCTGCAAGTGGATATTTGGACTTCTCTGAGGATTTCGTTGGAAACGGGATAAACTTCCCAGAACTACCCGGAAGCATTGTGAGAAACTTCTTTGTGATGTTTGCATTCAACTCACAGAGTTGAACCTTGCTTTCATAGTTCAGCTTTCAAACACTCTTTTTGTAGAATCTGCAAGTGGATATTTGGACCACTTTGTGGCCTTCCTTCGAAACGGGTATATCTTCACATCAAACCTAGACAGAAGCATTCTCAGAATGTTTCCTGTGATGACTGCATTCAACGCACAGAGGTGAACAATCCTGCTGATGGAGCAGTTTTGAAACTCTCTTTCTTTGGAATCTGCAAGTGGATATGTGGACCTCTTTGAAGATTTCGTTGGAAACGGGTTCATCTTCACATAAAAACTAAACAGAAGCATTCTCAGAAACTGCTTTGTGATGTTTGTGTTCCACTTCAAGAATTGAACTTTCCTCTTGACAGAGCAGCTCTGAAACCCTCTTTTTCTAGAATCTGCAAGTGGACATTTGGAGGGCTTTGAGGCCTGTGGTGGAAAAGGAAATATCTTCACATAAAACCTAGATAGAAGCATTCTCAGAAACTACTTTGGGATGATTGCATTAGACTCACAGACTTGAACCTTCCAATGGATAGAGCAGTTTGTAAACACTCTTTTTGTAGAATCTGTGATTGCTGATTTGGACTGCATTGAGGCCTACGGTACTAAAGGAAATAACTTCATCTAAAATCCAAACGGAAGCATTCACAGACAATTCTTAGTGATCATTGTATTGAACTAACAGAGCTGAACATTCCTTTAGATGGAGCAGTTTCCAAACACACTTTCTGTAGAATCTGCAAGTCGATATTTGGACCTCTCTGAGGATTTCGTTGGAAACGGGATAAACTTCCCAGAACTACACGGAAGCATTCTGAGAAACTTCTTTGTGATGTTTGCATTCAACTCACAGAGTTGAACCTTGCTTTCATAGTTCAGCTTTCAAACACTCTTTTTGTAGAATCTGCAAGTGGATATTTGGACCACTTTGTGGCCTTCCTTCGAAACGGGTATATCTTCACATCAAACCTAGACAGAAGCATTCTCAGAATGTTTCCTGTGATGACTGCATTCAACTCACAGAGGTGAACAATCCTGTTGATGGAGCACTTTTGAAACTCTCTTTCTTTGGATTCTGCAAGTTGATATGTGGACCTCTGTGAAGATTTCGTTGGAAACGGGTTCATCTTCACAGAAAAACTAAACAGAAGCATTCTCAGAAAATGCTATGTGATGTTTGTGTTCCACTTCAAGAATTGAACTTTCCTCTTGACAGAGCAGCTCTGAAACCCTCTTTTTCTAGAATCTGCAAGTGGACATTTGGAGGGCTTTGAGGCCTGTGGTGGAAAAGGAAAATCTTCACATAAAAACTAGATGGAAGCATTCTCAGAAACTTCTTTGTGATGATTGCATTCGACTCACAGAGTTGAACATTCCTATACATAGAGCAGGTTGTAAACAATCTTTTTGTAGAATATGCGATTGGAGATTTGGACTGCTTTGAGGCCTACTGCAGTAAAGGAAATAACTTCATCTAAAAACCAAACGGAAGCATTCACAGACAATTCTTAGTGATCATTGGATTGAACTAACAGAGCTGAACATTCCTTTAGATGGAGCAGTTTCCAAACACACTTTCTGTAGAATCTGCAAGTGGATATTTGGACTTCTCTGAGGATTTCGTTGGAAACGGGATAAACTTCCCAGAACTACACGGAAGCATTGTGAGAAATTTCTTTGTGATGTTTGCATTCAACTCACAGAGTTGAACCTTGCTTTCATAGTTCAGCTTTCAAACACTCTTTTTGTAGAATCTGCAAGTGGATATTTGGACCACTTTGTGGCCTTCCTTCGAAACGGGTATATCT
This sequence comes from Homo sapiens, assembly GCF_000001405.40. Taxonomy (NCBI): domain Eukaryota; kingdom Metazoa; phylum Chordata; class Mammalia; order Primates; family Hominidae; genus Homo; species Homo sapiens. Next base: position 52,755,008 of record NC_000011.10, read on the forward strand.
TCACATCAAACCTAGACAGAAGCATTCTCAGAATGTTTCCTGTGATGACTGCATTCAACTCACAGAGGTGAACAATCCTGCTGTTGGAGCAGTTTTGAAACTCTCTTTCTTTGGATTCTGCAAGTGGATATGTGGACCTCTGTGAAGATTTCGTTGGAAACGGGTTCATCTTCACAGAAAAACTAAACAGGAGCATTCTCAGAAACTGCTTTGTGATGTTTGTGTTCCACTTCAGGAATTGAACTTTCCTCTTGACAGAGCAGCTCTGAAACCCTCTTTTTCTAGAATCTGCAAGTGGACATTTGGAGGGCTTTGAGGCCTGTGGTGGAAAAGGAAAATCTTCACATAAAAACTAGATGGAAGCATTCTCAGAAACTACTTTGTGATGATTGCATTCGACTCACAGAGTTGAACATTCCTATAGATAGAGCAGGTTGTAAACAATCTTTTTGTAGAATCTGCGATTGGAGATTTGGACTGCTTTGAGGCCTACTGTAGTAAAGGAAATAACTTCATCTAAAAACCAAACGGAAGCATTCACAGACAATTCTTAGTGATCATTGGATTGAACTAACAGAGCTGAACATTCCTTTAGATGGAGCAGTTTCCAAACACACTTTCTGTAGAATCTGCAAGTGGATATTTGGACCTCTCTGAGGATTTCGTTGGAAACGGGATAAACTTCCCAGAACTACACGGAAGCATGCTGAGAAACTTCTTTGTGATGTTTGCATTCAACTCACAGAGTTGAACCTTGCTTTCATAGTTCAGCTTTCAAACACTCTTTTTGTAGAATCTGCAAGTGGATATTTGGACCACTTTGTGGCCTTCCTTCGAAACGGGTATATCTTCACTTCAAACCTAGACAGAAGCATTCTCAGAATGTTTCCTGTGATGACTGCATTCAACTCACAGAGGTGAACAATCCTGCTGATGGAGCAGTTTTGAAACTCTCTTTCTTTGGATTCTGCAAGTGGATATGTGGACCTCTGTGAAGATTTCGTTGGAAACGTGTTCATCTTCACAGAAAAACTAAACAGGAGCATTCTCAGAAACTGCTTTGTGATGTTTGTGTTCCACTTCAAGAATTGAACTTTCCTCTTGACAGAGCAGCTCTGAAACCCTCTTTTTCTAGAATCTGCAAGTGGACATTTGGAGGGCTTTGAGGCCTGTGGTGGAAAAGGAAAATCTTCCCATAAAAACTAGATGGAAGCATTCTCAGAAACTACTTTGTGATGATTGCATTCGACTCACAGAGTTGAACATTCCTATAGATAGAGCAGGTTGAAAACAATCTTTTTGTAGAATCTGCGATTGGAGATTTGGACTGCTTTGAGGCCTACTGTAGTAAAGGAAATAACTTCATCTAAAAACCAAACGGAAGCATTCACAGAGAATTCTTAGTGATCATTGGATTGAACTAACAGAGCTGAACATTCCTTTAGATGGCGCAGTTTCCAAACCCACTTTCTGTAGAATCTGCAAGTGGATATTTGGACTTCTCTGAGGATTTCGTTGGAAACGGGATAAACTTCCCAGAACTACAGGGAAGCATTCTGAGAAACTTCTTTGTGATGTTTGCATTCAACTCACAGAGTTGAACCTTGCTTTCATAGTTCAGCTTTCAAACACTCTTTTTGTAGAATCTGCAAGTGGATATTTGGACCACTTTGTGGCCTTCCTTCGAAACGGGTATATCTTCACATCAAACCTAGACAGAAGCATTCTCAGAATGTTTTCTGTGATGACTGCATTCAACTCACAGAGGTGAACAATCCTGTTGATGGAGCAGTTTTGAAACTCTCTTTCTTTGGATTCTGCAAGTGGATATGTGGACCTCTGTGAACATTTCGTTGGAAACGGGTTCATCTTCACAGAAAAACTAAACAGAAGCATTCTCAGAAACTGCTTTGTGATGTTTGTGTTCCACTTCAAGAATTGAACTTTCCTCTTGACAGAGCAGCTCTGAAACCCTCTTTTTCTAGAATCTGCAAGTGGACATTTGGAGGGCTTTGAGGCCTGTGGTGGAAAAGGAAAATCTTCCCATAAAAACTAGATGGAAGCATTCTCAGAAACTACTTTGTGATGATGGCTTTCGACTCACAGAGTTGAACATTCCTATAGATAGAGCAGGTTGTAAACAATCTTTTTGTAGAATCTGCGATTGGAGATTTGGACTGCTTTGAGGCCTACTGTAGTAAAGGAAATAACTTCATCTAAAAACCAAACGGAAGCATTCACAGACAATTCTTAGTGATCATTGGATTGAACTAACAGAGCTGAACATTCCTTTAGATGGAGCAGTTTCCAAACCCACTTTCTGTAGAATCTGCAAGTGGATATTTGGACTTCTCTGAGGATTTCGTTGGAAACGGGATAAACTTCCCAGAACTACACGGAAGCATTCTCAGAAACTTCTTTGTGATGTTTGCATTCAACTCAGAGAGTTGAAACTTGCTTTCATAGTTCAGCTTTCAAACACTCTTTTTGTAGAATCTGCAATTGGATATTTGGACCACTTTGTTGCCTTCCTTCGAAACGGGTATATCTTCACATCAAACCTAGACTGAAGCATTCTCAGAATGTTTCCTGTGATGACTGCATTCAACTCACAGAGGTGAACAATCCTGCTGATGGAGCAGTTTTGAAACTCTCTTTGTTTGGATTCTGCAAGTGGATATGTGGACCTCTGTGAAGATTTCGTTGGAAACGGGTTCATCTTCACAGAAAAACTAAACAGGAGCATTCTCAGAAACTGCTTTGTGATGTTTGTGTTCCACTTCAGGAATTGAACTTTCCTCTTGACAGAGCAGCTCTGAAACCCTCTTATTCTAGAATCTGCAAGTGGACATTTGGAGGGCTTTGAGGCCTGTGGTGGAAAAGGAAAATCTTCACATAAAAACTAGATGGAAGCATTCTCAGAAACTACTTTGTGATGATTGCATTCGACTCACAGAGTTGAACATTCCTATAGATAGAGCAGGTTGTAAACAATCTTTTTGTAGAATCTGCGATTGGAGATTTGGACTGCTTTGAGGCCTACTGTAGTAAAGGAAATAACTTCATCTAAAAACCAAACGGAAGCATTCACAGACAATTCTTAGTGATCATTGGATTGAACTAACAGAGCTGAACATTCCTTTAGATGGCGCAGTTTCCAAACCCACTTTCTGTAGAATCTGCAAGTGGATATTTGGACCTCTCTGAGGATTTCGTTGGAAACGGGATAAACTTCCCAGAACTACACGGAAGTATTCTGAGAAACTTCTTTGTGATGTTTGCATTCAACTCACAGAGTTGAACCTTGCTTTCATAGTTCAGCTTTCAAACACTCTTTTTGTAGAATCTGCAAGTGGATATTTGGACCACTTTGTGGCCTTCCTTCGAAACGGGTATATCTTCACATCAAACCTAGACAGAAGCATTCTCAGAATGTTTCCTGTGATGACTGCATTCAACTCACAGAGGTGAACAATCCTGCTGATGGAGCAGTTTTGAAACTCTCTTTCTTTGGATTCTGCAAGTGGATATGTGGACCTCTGTGAAGATTTCGTTGGAAACGGGTTCATCTTCACAGAAAAACTAAACAGAAACATTCTCAGAAACTGCTTTGTGATGTTTGTGTTCCACTTCAAGAATTGAACTTTCCTCTTGACAGAGCAGCTCTGAAACCCTCTTTTTCTAGAATCTGCAAGTGGACATTTGGAGGGCTTTGAGGCCTGTGGTGGAAAAGGAAAATCTTCACATAAAAACTAGATGGAAGCATTCTCAGAAACTACTTTGTGATGATTGCATTCGACTCACAGAGTTGAACATTCCTATACATAGAGCAGGTTGTAAACAATCTTTTTGTAGAATCTGCGATTGGAGATTTGGACTGCTTTGAGGCCTACTGTAGTAAAGGAAATAACTTCATCTAAAAACCAAACGGAAGCATTCACAGACAATTCTTAGTGATCATTGGATTGAACTAACAGAGCTGAACATTCCTTTAGATGGAGCAGTTTCCAAACACACTTTCTGTAGAATCTGCAAGTGGATATTTGGACTTATCTGAGGATTTCGTTGGATAAGGGATAAACTTCCCAGAACTACAGGGAAGCATTCTGAGAAACTTCTTTGTGATGTTTGCATTCAACTCACAGAGTTGAACCTTGCTTTCATAGTTCAGCTTTCAAACACTCTTTTTGTAGAATCTGCAAGTGGATATTTGGACCACTTTGTGGCCTTCCTTCGAAACGGGTATATCTTCACATCAAACCTAGACAGAAGCATTCTCAGAATGTTTCCTGTGATGACTGCATTCAACTCACAGAGGTGAACAATCCTGCTGATGGAGCAGTTTTGAAACTCTCTTTCTTTGGATTCTGCAAGTGGATATGTGGACCTGTGTGAAGATTTCGTTGGAAACGGGTTCATCTTCACAGAAAAACTAAACAGAAGCATTCTCAGAAACTGCTTTGTGATGTTTGTGTTCCACTTCAGGAATTGAACTTTCCTCTTGACAGAGCAGCTCTGAAACCCTCTTATTCTAGAATCTGCAAGTGGACATTTGGAGGGCTTTGAGGCCTGTGGTGGAAAAGGAAAATCTTCACATAAAAACTAGATGGAAGCATTCTCAGAAACTACTTTGTGATGATTGCATTCGACTCACAGAGTTGAACATTCCTATAGATAGAGCAGGTTGTAAACAATCTTTTTGTAGAATCTGCGATTGGAGATTTGGACTGCTTTGAGGCCTACTGTAGTAAAGGAAATAACTTCATCTAAAAACCAAACGGAAGCATTCACAGACAATTCTTAGTGATCATTGCATTGAACTAACAGAGCTGAACATTCCTTTAGATGGCGCAGTTTCCAAACACACTTTCTGTAGAATCTGCAAGTGGATATTTGGACTTCTCTGAGGATTTCGTTGGAAACGGGATAAACTTCCCAGAACTACACGGAAGCATTCTGAGAAACTTCTTTGTGATGTTTGCATTCAACTCACAGAGTTGAACCTTGCTTTCATAGTTCAGCTTTCAAACACTCTTTTTGTAGAATCTGCAAGTGGATATTTGGACCACTTTGTGGCCTTCCTTCGAAACGGGTATATCTTCACATCAAACCTAGACAGAAGCATTCTCAGAATGTTTCCTGTGATGACTGCATTCAACTCACAGAGGTGAACAATCCTGCTGATGGAGCAGTTTTGAAACTCTCTTTCTTTGGATTCTGCAAGTGGATATGTGGACCTCTGTGAAGATTTCGTTGGATACGGGTTCATCTTCACAGAAAAACTAAACAGAAGCATTCTCGGAAACTGCTTTGTGATGTTTGTGTTCCACTTCAGGAATTGAACTTTCCTCTTGACAGAGCAGCTCTGAAACCCTCTTATTCTAGAATCTGCAAGTGGACATTTGGAGGGCTTTGAGGCCTGTGGTGGAAAAGGAAAATCTTCACATAAAAACTAGATGGAAGCATTCTCAGAAACTACTTTGTGATGATTGCATTCGACTCACAGAGTTGAACATTCCTATAGATAGAGCAGGTTGTAAACAATCTTTTTGAAGAATCTGCGATTGGAGATTTGGACTGCTTTGAGGCCTACTGTAGTAAAGGAAATAACTTCATCTAAAAACCAAACGGAAGCATTCACAGACAATTCCTAGTGATCATTGGATTGAACTAACAGAGCTGAACATTCCTTTAGATGGCGCAGTTTCCAAACACACTTTCTGTAGAATCTGCAAGGGGATATTTGGACTTCTCTGAGGATTTCGTTGGAAACGGGATAAACTTCCCAGAACTACACGGAAGCATTGTGAGAAACTTCTTTGTGATGTTTGCATTCAACTCACAGAGTTGAACCTTGCTTTCCTAGTTCAGCTTTCAAACACTCTTTTTGTAGAATCTGCAAGTGGATATTTGGACCACTTTGTGGCCTTCCTTCGAAACGGGTATATCTTCACATCAAACCTAGACAGAAGCATTCTCAGAATGTTTCCTGTGATGACTGCATTCAACTCACAGAGGTGAACAATCCTGCTGATGGAGCAGTTATGAAACTCTCTTTCTTTGGATTCTGCAAGTGGATATGTGGACCTCTGTGAAGATTTCGTTGGAAACGGGTTCATCTTCACAGAAAAACTAAACAGGAGTATTCTCAGAAACTGCTTTATGATGTTTGTGTTCCACTTCAGGAATTGAACTTTCCTCTTGACAGAGCAGCTCTGAAACCCTCTTTTTCTAGAACCTGCAAGTGGACATTTGGAGGGCTTTGAGGCCTGTGGTGGAAAAGGAAAATCTTCACATAAAACTAGATGGAAGCATTCTCAGAAACTACTTTGTGATGATTGCATTCGACTCACAGAGTTGAACATTCCTATAGATAGAGCAGGTTGTAAACAATCTTTTTGTAGAATCTGCGATTGGAGATTTGGACTGCTTTGAGGCCTACTGTAGTAAAGGAAATAACTTCATCTAAAAACCAAACGGAAGCATTCACAGACAATTCTTAGTGATCATTGGATTGAACTAACAGAGCTGAACATTCCTTTAGATGGAGCAGTTTCCAAACCCACTTTCTGTAGAATCTGCAAGTGGATATTTGGACTTCTCTTAGGATTTCGTTGGAAACGGGATAAACTTCCCAGAACTACAGGGAAGCATTCTGAGAAACTTCTTTGTGATGTTTGCATTCAACTCACAGAGTTGAACCTTGCTTTCATAGTTCAGCTTTCAAACACTCTTTTTGTAGAATCTGCAAGTGGATATTTGGACCACTTTGTGGCCTTCGTTCGAAACGGGTATATCTTCACATCAAACCTAGACAGAAGCATTCTCAGAATGTTTCCTGTGATGACTGCATTCAACTCACAGAGGTGAACAATCCTGCTGATGGAGCAGTTTTGAAACTCTCTTTCTTTGGATTCTGCAAGTGGATATGTGGACCTCTGTGAAGATTTCGTTGGAAACGGGTTCATCTTCACAGAAAAACTAAACAGGAGCATTCTCAGAAACTGCTTTGTGATGTTTGTGTTCCACTTCAAGAATTGAACTTTCCTCTTGACAGAGCAGCTCTGAAACCCTCTTTTTCTAGAATCTGCAAGTGGACATTTGGAGGGCTTTGAGGCCTGTGGTGGAAAAGGAAAATCTTCACATAAAAACTAGATGGAAGCATTCTCAGAAACTACTTTGTGATGATTGCATTCGACTCACAGAGTTGAACATTCCTATACATAGAGCAGGTTGTAAACAATCTTTTTGTAGAATCTGCGATTGGAGATTTGGACTGCTTTGAGGCCTACTGTAGTAAAGGAAATAACTTCATCTAAAAACCAAACGGAAGCATTCACAGACAATTCTTAGTGATCATTGGATTGAACTAACAGAGCTGAACATTCCTTTAGATGGAGCAGTTTCCAAACCCAATTTCTGTAGAATCTGCAAGTGGATATTTGGACTTCTCTGAGGATTTCGTTGGAAACGGGATAAACTTCCCAGAACTACACGGAAGCATTCTGAGTAAACTTCTTTGTGATGTTTGCATTCAACTCACAGAGTTGAACCTTGCTTTCATAGTTCAGCTTTCAAACACTCTTTTTGTAGAATCTGCAAGTGGATATTTGGACCACTTTGTGGCCTTCCTTCGAAACGGGTATATCTTCACATCAAACCTAGACAGAAGCATTCTCAGAATGTTTCCTGTGATGACTGCATTCAACTCACAGAGGTGAACAATCCTGCTGATGGAGCAGTTTTGAAACTCTCTTTCTTTGGATTCTGCAAGTGGATATGTGGACCTCTGTGAAGATTTCGTTGGAAACGGGTTCATCTTCACAGAAAAACTAAACAGAAGCATTCTCAGAAACTGCTTTGTGATGTTTGTGTTCCACTTCAGGAATTGAACTTTCCTCTTGACAGAGCAGCTCTGAAACCCTCTTTTTCTAGAATCTGCAAGTGGACATTTGGAGGGCTTTGAGGCCTGTGGTGGAAAAGGAAAATCTTCACATAAAAACTAGATGGAAGCATTCTCAGAAACTACTTTGTGATGATTGCATTCGACTCACAGAGTTGAACATTCCTATAGATAGAGCAGGTTGTAAACAATCTTTTTGTAGAATCTGCGATTGGAGATTTGGACTGCTTTGAGGCCTAGTGTAGTAAAGGAAATAACTTCATCTAAAAACGAAACGGAAGCATTCACAGACAATTCTTAGTGATCATTGGATTGAACTAACAGAGCTGAACATTCCTTTAGATGGAGCAGTTTCCAAACACACTTTCTGTAGAATCTGCAAGTGGATATTTGGACTTCTCTGAGGATTTCTTTGGAAACGGGATAAACTTCCCAGAACTACACGGAAGCATTCTGAGAAACTTCTTTGTGATGTTTGCATTCAACTCACAGAGTTGAACCTTGCTTTCATAGTTCAGCTTTCAAACACTCTTTTTGTAGAATCTGCAAGTGGATATTTGGACCACTTTGTGGCCTTCCTTCGAAACGGGTATATCTTCACATCAAACCTACACAGAAAGCATTCTCAGAATGTTTCCTGTGATGACTGCATTCAACTCACAGAGGTGAACAATCCTGTTGATGGAGCAGTTTTGAAACTCTCTTTCTTTGGATTCTGCAAGTTGATATGTGGACCTCTGTGAAGATTTCGTTGGAAACGGGTTCATCTTCACAGAAAAACTAAACAGAAGCATTCTCAGAAACTGCTTTGTGATGTTTGTGTTCCACTTCAGGAATTGAACTTTCCTCTTGACAGAGCAGCTCTGAAACCCTCTTATTCTAGAATCTGCAAGTGGACATTTGGAGGGCTTTGAGGCCTGTGGTGGAAAAGGAAAATCTTCACATAAAAACTAGATGGAAGCATTCTCAGAAACTACTTTGTGATGATTGCATTCGACTCACAGAGTTGAACATTCCTATAGATAGAGCAGGTTGTAAACAATCTTTTTGTAGAATCTGCGATTGGAGATTTGGACTGCTTTGAGGCCTACTGTAGTAAAGGAAATAACTTCATCTAAAAACCAAACGGAAGCATTCACAGACAATTCTTAGTGATCATTGCACTGAACTAACAGAGCTGAACATTCCTTTAGATGGAGCAGTTTCCAAACACACTTTCTGTAGAATCTGCAAGTGGATATTTGGACTTCTCTGAGGATTTCGTTGGAAACGGGATAAACTTCCCAGAACTACACGGAAGCATTGGGAGAAACTTCTTTGTGAAGTTTGCATTCAACTCACAGAGTTGAACCTTGCTTTCATAGTTCAGCTTTCAAACACTCTTTTTGTAGAATCTGCAAGTGGATATTTGGACCACTTTGTGGCCTTCCTTCGAAACGGGTATATCTTCACATCAAACCTTGACAGAAGCATTCTCAGAATGTTTCCTGTGATGACTGCATTCAACTCACGGAGGTGAACAATCCTGTTGATGTAGCACTTTTGAAACTCTCTTTCTTTGGATTCTGCAAGTTGATATGGGGACCTCTGTGAAGATTTCGTTGGAAACGGGTTCATCTTCACAGAAAAACTAAACAGAAGCATTCTCAGAAACTGCTTTGTGATGTTTGTGTTCCACTTCAAGAATTGAACTTTCCTCTTGACAGAGCAGCTCTGAAACCCTCTTTTTCTAGAATCTGCAAGTGGACATTTGGAGGGCTTTGAGGCCTGTGGTGGAAAAGGAAAATCTTCACATAAAAACTAGATGGAAGCATTCTCAGAAACTACTTTGTGATGATTGCATTCGACTCACACAGTTGAACATTCCTATAGATAGAGCAGGTTGTAAACAATCTTTTTGTAGAATCTGCGATTGGAGATTTGGACTGCTTTGAGGCCTACTGTAGTAAAGGAAATAACTTCATCTAAAAACCAAACGGAAGCATTCACAGACAATTCTTAGTGATCATTGGATTGAACTAACAGAGCTGAACATTCCTTTAGATGGCGCAGTTTCCAGACACACTTTCTGTAGAATCTGCAACTGGATATTTGGACCTCTCTGAGGATTTCGTTGGAAACAGGATAAACTTCCCAGAACTACACGGAAGCATTCTGAGAAACTTCTTTGTGATGTTTGCATTCAACTCACAGAGTTGAACCTTGCTTTCATAGTTCAGCTTTCAAACACTCTTTTTGTAGAATCTGCAAGTGGATATTTGGACCACTTTGTGGCCTTCCTTCGAAACGGGTATATCTTCACATCAAACCTAGACAGAAGCATTCTCAGAATGTTTCCTGTGATGACTGCATTCAACTCACAGAGGTGAACAATCCTGCTGATGGAGCAGTTTTGAAACTCTCTTTCTTTGGATTCTGCAAGTGGATATGTGGACCTCTGTGAAGATTTCGTTGAAAACGGGTTCATCTTCACAGAAAAACTAAACAGAAGCATTCTCAGAAACTGCTTTGTGATGTTTGTGTTCCACTTCAGGAATTGAACTTTCCTCTTGACAGAGCAGCTCTAAAACCCTCTTATTCTAGAATCTGCAAGTGGACATTTGGAGGGCTTTGAGGCCTGTGGTGGAAAAGGAAAATCTTCACATAAAAACTAGATGGAAGCATTCTCAGAAACTACTTTGTGATGATTGCATTCGACTCACAGAGTTGAACATTCCTATAGATAGAGCAGGTTGTAAACAATCTTTTTGTAGAATCTGCGATTGGAGATTTGGACTGCTTTGAGGCCTACTGTAGTAAAGGAAATAACTTCATCTAAAAACCAAACGGAAGCATTCACAGACAATTCTTAGTGATCATTGCATTGAACTAACAGAGCTGAACATTCCTTTAGATGGAGCAGTTTCCAAACACACTTTCTGTAGAATCTGCAAGTGGATATTTGGACTTCTCTCAGGATTTCGTTGGAAACGGGATAAACTTCCCAGAACTACACGGAAGCATTCTGAGAAACTTCTTTGTGATGTTTGCATTCAACTCACAGAGTTGAACCTTGCTTTCATAGTTCAGCTTTCAAACACTCTTTTTGTAGAATCTGCAAGTGGATATTTGGACCACTTTGTGGCCTTCCTTCGAAACGGGTATATCTTCACATCAAACCTAGACAGAAGCATTCTCAGAATGTTTCCTGTGATGACTGCATTCAACTCACAGAGGTGAGCAATCCTGCTGATGGAGCAGTTTTGAAACTCTCTTTCTTTGGATTCTGCAAGTGGATATGTGGACCTCTGTGAAGATTTCGATGGAAACGGGTTCATCTTCACAGAAAAACTAAACAGAAGCATTCTCAGAAACTGCTTTGTGATGTTTGTGTTCCACTTCAGGAATTGAACTTTCCTCTTGACAGAGCAGCTCTGAAACCCTCTTTTTCTAGAATCTGCAAGTGGACGTTTGGAGGCCTTTAAGGCCTGTGGTGGAAAAGGAAAATCTTCACATAAAAACTAGTTGGAAGCATTCTCAGAAACTACTTTGTGATGATTGCATTCGACTCACAGAGTTGAACATTCCTATAGATAGAGCAGGTTGTAAACAATCTTTTTGTAGAATCTGCGATTGGAGATTTGGACTGCTTTGAGGCCTACTGTAGTAAAGGAAATAACTTCATCTAAAAACCAAACGGAAGCATTCACAGTACAATTCTTAGTGATCATTGCATTGAACTAACAGAGCTGAACATTCCTTTAGATGGAGCATTTTCCAAACACACTTTCTGTAGAATCTGCAAGTGGATATTTGGACTTCTCTGAGGATTTCGTTGGAAACGGGATAAACTTCCCAGAACTACACGGAAGCATTCTGAGAAACTTCTTTGTGATGTTTGCATTCAACTCACAGAGTTGAACCTTGCTTTCATAGTTCAGCTTTCAAACACTCTTTTTGTAGAATCTGCAAGTGGATATTTGGACCACTTTGTGGCCTTCCTTCGAAACGGGTATATCTTCACATCAAACCTAGACAGAAGCATTCTCAGAATGTTTCCTGTGATGACTGCATTCAACTCACAGAGGTGAACAATCCTGTTGATGGAGCCGTTTTGAAACTCCCTTTCTTTGGATTCTGCAAGTGGATATGTGGAACTCTGTGAAGATTTCGTTGGAAACGGGTTCATCTTAACAGAAAAACTAAACAGGAGCATTCTCAGAAACAGCTTTGTGATGTTTGTCTTCCTCTTCAGGAATTGAACTTTCCTCTTGAAAGAGCAGCTCTGAAACCCTCTTTTTCTAGAATCTGCAAGTGGACATTTGGAGGGCTTTGAGGCCTGTGGTGGAAAAGGAAAATCTTCCCATAAAAACTAGATGGAAGCATTCTCAGAAACTACTTTGTGATGATTGCATTCGACTCACAGAGTTGAACATTCCTATAGATAGAGCAGGTTGTAAACAATCTTTTTGTAGAATCTGCGATTGGAGATTTGGACTGCTTTGAGGCCTACTGTAGTAAAGGAAATAACTTCATCTAAAAACCAAACGGAAGCATTCACAGACAATTCTTAGTGATCATTGGATTGAACTAACAGAGCTGAACATTCCTTTAGATGGAGCAGTTTCCAAACCCACTTTCTGTAGAATCTGCAAGTGGATATTTGGACTTCTCTGAGGATTTCGTTGGAAACGGGATAAACTTTCCAGAACTACAGGGAAGCATTGTGAGAAACTTCTTTGTGATGTTTGCATTCAACTCACAGAGTTGAACCTTGCTTTCATAGTTCAGCTTTCAAACACTCCTTTTGTAGAATCTGCAAGTGGATATTTGGACCACTTTGTGGCCTTCCTTGGAAACGGGTATATCTTCACATCAAACCTAGACAGAAGCATTCTCGGAATGTTTCCTGTGATGACTGCATTCAACTCACAGAGGTGAACAATCCTGCTGATGGAGCAGTTTTGAAACTCTCTTTCTTTGGATTCTGCAAGTGGATATGTGGACCTCTGTGAAGATTTCGTTGGAAACGGGTTCATCTTCACAGAAAAACTAAACAGGAGCATTCTCAGAAACTGCTTTGTGATGTTTGTGTTCCACTTCAAGAATTGAACTTTCCTCTTGACAGAACAGCTCTGAAACCCTCTTTTTCTAGAATCTGCAAGTGGACATTTGGAGGGCTTTGAGGCCTGTGGTGGAAAAGGAAATATCTTCACATAAAACCTAGATAGAAGCATTCTCAGAAACTACTTTGTGATGATTGCATTCGACTCACAGAGTTGAACATTTCTATAGATAGAGCAGGTTGTAAACAATCTTTTTGTGGAATCTGCGATTGGAGATTTGGACTGCTTTGAGGCCTACTGTAGTAAAGGAAATAACTTCATCTAAAAACCAAACGGAAGCATTCACAGACAATTCTTAGTGATCATTGCATTGAACTAACAGAGCTGAACATTCCTTTAGATGGAGCAGTTTCCAAACACACTTTCTGTAGAATCTGCAAGTGGATATTTGGACTTTTCTGAGGATTTCGTTGGAAACGGGATAAACTTCCCAGAACTACAGGGAAGCATTCTGAGAAACTTCTTTGTGATGTTTGCATTCAACTCACAGAGTTGAACCTTGCTTTCATAGTTCAGCTTTCAAACACTCTTTTTGTAGAATCTGCAAGTGGATATTTGGACCACTTTGTGGCCTTCCTTCGAAACGGGTATATCTTCACATCAAACCTAGACAGAAGCATTCTCAGAATGTTTCCTGTGATGACTGCATTCAACTCACAGAGGTGAACAATCCTGCTGATGGAGCAGTTTTGAAACTCTCTTTCTTTGGATTCAGCAAGTGGATATGTGGACCTCTGTGAAGATTTCGTTGGAAACGGGTTCATCTTCACAGAAAAACTAAACAGGAGCATTCTCAGAAACTGCTTTGTGATGTTTGTGTTCCAATTCAAGAATTGAACTTTCCTCTTGACAGAGCAGCTCTGAAACCCTCTTTTTCTAGAATCTGCAAGTGGACATTTGGAGGGCTTTGAGGCCTGTGGTGGAAAAGGAAAATCTTCACATAAAAACTAGATGGAAGCATTCTCAGAAACTACTTTGTGATGATTGCATTCGACTCACATAGTTGAACATTCCTATAGATAGAGCAGGTTGTAAACAATCTTTTTGTAGAATCTGCGATTGGAGATTTGGACTGCTTTGAGGCCTACTGTAGTAAAGGAAATAACTTCATCTAAAAACCAAACGGAAGCATTCACAGAAAATTCTTAGTGATCATTGGATTGAACTAACAGAGCTGAACATTGCTTTAGATGGAGCAGTTTCCAAACCCACTTTCTGTAGAATCTGCAAGTGGATATTTGGACTTCTCTGAGGATTTCGTTGGAAACGGGATATGCTTCCCAGAACTACAGGGAAGCATTCTGAGAAACTTCTTTGTGATGTTTGCATTCAACTCACAGAGTTGAACCTTGCTTTCATAGTTCAGCTTTCAAACACTCTTTTTGTAGAATCTGCAAGTGGATATTTGGACCACTTTGTGGCCTTCCTTCGAAACGGGTATATCTTCACATCAAACCTAGACAGAAGCATTCTCAGAATGTTTCCTGTGATGACTGCATTCAACCCACAGAGGTGAACAATCCTGTTGATGGAGCAGTTTTGAAACTCTCTTTCTTTGGATTCTGCAAGTGGATATGTGGACCTCTGTGAAGATTTCGTTGGAAACGGGTTCATCTTCACAGAAAAACTAAACAGAAGCATTCTCAGAAACTGCTTTGTGATGTTTGTGTTCCACTTCAAGAATTGTACTTTCCTCTTGACAGAGCAGCTCTGAAACCCTCTTATTCTAGAATCTGCAAGTGGACATTTGGAGGGCTTTGAGGCCTGTGGTGGAAATGGAAAATCTTCACATAAAAACTAGATGGAAGCATTCTCAGAAACTACTTTGTGATGATTGCATTCGACTCACAGAGTTGAACATTCCTATAGGTAGAGCAGGTTGTAAACAATCTTTTTGTAGAATCTGCGATTGGAGATTTGGACTGCTTTGAGGCCTACTGTAGTAAAGGAAATAACTTCATCTAAAAACCAAACGGAAGCATTCACAGACAATTCTTAGTGATCATTGGATTGAACTAACAGAGCTGAACATTCCTTTAGATGGAGCAGTTTCCAAACACACTTTCTGTAGAATCTGCAAGTGGATATTTGGACTTATCTGAGGATTTCGTTGGATAAGGGATAAACTTCCCAGAACTACAGGGAAGCATTCTGAGAAACTTCTTTGTGATGTTTGCATTCAACTCACAGAGTTGAACCTTGCTTTCATACTTCAGCTTTCAAACACTCTTTTTGTAGAATCTGCAAGTGGATATTTGGACCACTTTGTGGCCTTCCTTCGAAACGGGTATATCTTCACATCAAACCTAGACAGAAGCATTCTCAGAATGTTTCCTGTGATGACTGCATTCAACTCACAGAGGTGAACAATCCTGCTGATGGAGCAGTTTTGAAACTCTCTTTCTTTGGATTCTGCAAGTGGATATGTGGACCTCTGTGAAGATTTCGTTGGAAACGGGTTCATCTTCACAGAAAAACTAAACAGAAGCATTCTCAGAAACTACTTTGTGATGTTTGTGTTCCACTTCAAGAATTGAACTTTCCTCTTGACAGAGCAGCTCTGAAACCCTCTTTTTCTAGAATCTGCAAGTGGACATTTGGAGGGCTTTGAGGCCTGTGGTGGAAAAGGAAAATCTTCACATAAAAACTAGATGGAAGCATTCTCAGAAACTACTTTGTGATGATTGCATTCGACTCACAGAGTTGAACATTCCTATAGATAGAGCAGGTTGTAAACAATCTTTTTGTAGAATCTGCGATTGGAGATTTGGACTGCTTTGAGGCCTACTGTAGTAAAGGAAATAACTTCATCTAAAAATCAAACGGAAGCATTCACAGACAATTCATAGTGATCATTGCATTGAACTAACAGAGCTGAACATTCCTTTAGATGGAGCAGTTTCCAAACACACTTTCTGTAGAATCTGCAAGTGGATATTTGGACCTCTCTGAGGATTTCGTTGGAAACGGGATAAACTTCCCAGAACTACACGGAAGCATTGTGAGAAACTTCTTTGTGATGTTTGCATTCAACTCACAGAGTTGAACCTTGCTTTCATAGTTCAGCTTTCAAACACTCTTTTTGTAGAATCTGCAAGTGGATATTTGGACCACTTTGTGGCCTTCCTTTGAAACGGGTACATCTTCACATCAAACCTAGACAGAAGAATTCTCAGAATGTTTCCTGTGATGACTGCATTCAACTCACAGAGGTGAACAATCCTGCTGATGGAGCAGTTTTGAAACTCTCTTTCTTTGGATTCTGCAAGTGGATATGTGGACCTCTGTGAAGATTTCGTTGGAAACGGGTTCATCTTCATAGAAAAACTAAACAGGAGCATTCTCAGAAACTGCTTTGTGATGTTTGTGTTCCACTTCAGGAATTGAACTTTCCTCTTGACAGAGCAGCTCTGAAACCCTCTTATTCTAGAATCTGCAAGTGGACATTTGGAGGGCTTTGAGGCCTGTGGTGGAAAAGGAAAATCTTCACATAAAAACTAGATGGAAGCATTCTCAGAAACTACTTTGTGATGATTGCATTCGACTCACAGAGTTCAACATTCCTATAGATAGAGCAGGTTGTAAACAATCTTTTTGTAGAATCTGCGATTGGAGATTTGGACTGCTTTGAGGCCTACTGTAGTAAAGGAAATAACTTCATCTAAAAACCAAACGGAAGCATTCACAGACAATTCTTAGTGATCATTGCATTGAACTAACAGAGCTGAACATTCCTTTAGATGGCGCAGTTTCCAAACACACTTTCTGTAGAATCTGCAAGTGGATATTTGGACCTCTCTGAGGATTTCGTTGGAAACGGGATAAACTTCCCAGAACTACACGGAAGCATTGTCAGAAACTTCTTTGTGATGTTTGCATTCAACTCACAGAGTTGAACCTTGCTTTCATAGTTCAGCTTTCAAACACTCTTTTTGTAGAATCTGCAAGTGGATATTTGGACCACTTTGTGGCCTTCCTTCGAAACGGGTATATCTTCACATCAAACCTAGACAGAAACATTCTCAGAATGTTTCCTGTGATGACTGCATTCAACTCACAGAGTTGAACAATCCTGCTGATGGAGCAGTTTTGAAACGCTCTTTCTTTGGATTCTGCAAGTGGATATGTGGACCTCTTTGAAGATTTCCTTGGAAACGGGTTCCTCTTCACATAAAAAGTAAACAGAATCATTCTCAGAAACTGCTTTGTGATGTTTGTGTTCCACTTCAAGAATTGAACTTTCCTCTTGACAGAGCAGCTCTGAAACCCTCTTTTTCTAGAATCTGCAAGTGGACATTTCGAGGGCTTTGAGGCCTGTGGTGGAAAAGGAAAATCTTCACATAAAAACTAGATGGAAGCATTCTCAGAAACTACTTTGTGATGATTGCATTCGACTCACAGAGTTGAACATTCCTATAGATAGAGCAGGTTGTAAACAATCTTTTTGTAGAATCTGCGATTGGAGATTTGGACTGCTTTGAGGCCTACTGTAGTAAAGGAAATAACTTCATCTAAAAACCAAACGGAAGCATTCACAGACAATTCTTAGTGATCATTGCATTGAACTAACAGAGCTGAACATTCCTTTAGATGGCGCAGTTTCCAAACACACTTTCTGTAGAATCTGCAAGTGGATATTTGGACTTCTCTGAGGATTTCGTTGGAAACGGGATAAACTTCCCAGAACTACACGGAAGCATTCTGAGAAACTTCTTTGTGATGTTTGCATTCAACTCACAGAGTTGAACCTTGCTTTCATAGTTCAGCTTTCAAACACTCTTTTTGTAGAATCTGCAAGTGGATATTTGGACCACTTTGTGGCCTTCCTTCGAAACGGGTATATCTTCACATCAAACCTAGACAGAAGCATTCTCAGAATGTTTCCTGTGATGACTGCATTCAACTCACAGAGGTGAACAATCCTGCTGATGGAGCAGTTTTGAAACTCTCTTTCTTTGGATTCTGCAAGTGGATATGTGGACCTCTGTGAAGATTTCGTTGGAAACGGGTTCATCTTCACAGAAAAACTAAACAGGAGCATTCTCAGAAACTGCTTTGTGATGTTTGTTTTCCACTTCAAGAATTGAACTTTCCTCTTGACAGAGCAGCTCTGAAACCCTCTTTTTCTAGAATCTGCAAGTGGACATTTGGAGGGCTTTGAGGCCTGTGGTGGAAAAGGAAAATCTTCACATAAAAACTAGATGGAAGCATTCTCAGAAACTACTTTGTGATGATTGCATTCGACTCATAGAGTTGAACATTCCTATAGATAGAGCAGGTTGTAAACAATCTTTTTGTAGAATCTGCGATTGGAGATTTGGAGTGCTTTGAGGCCTACTGTAGTAAAGGAAATAACTTCATGTAAAAACCAAACGGAAGCATTCACAGACAATTCTTAGTGATCATTGGATTGAACAAACAGAGCTGAACATTCCCTTAGATAGAGCAGTTTCCAAACACACTTTCTGTAGAATCTGCAAGTGGATATTTGGACTTCTCTGAGGATTTCGTTGGAAACGGGATAAACTTCCCAGAACTACACGGAAGCATTCTGAGAAACTTCTTTGTGATGTTTGCATTCAACTCACAGAGTTGAACCTTGCTTTCATAGTTCAGCTTTCAAACACTCTTTTTGTAGAATCTGCAAGTGGATATTTGGACCACTTTGTGGCCTTCCTTCGAAACGGGTATATCTTCACATCAAACCTAGACAGAAGCATTCTCAGAATGTTTCCTGTGATGACTGCATTCAACTCACAGAGGTGAACAATCCTGCTGATGGAGCAGTTTTGAAACTCTCTTTCTTTGGATTCTGCAAGTGGATATGTGGACCTCTGTGAAGATTTCGTTGGAAACGGGTTCATCTTCACAGAAAAACTAAACAGAAACATTCTCAGAAACTGCTTTGTGATGTTTGTGTTCCACTTCAAGAATTGAACTTTCCTCTTGACAGAGCAGCTCTGAAACCCTCTTTTTCTAGAATCTGCAAGTGGACATTTGGAGGGCTTTGAGGCCTGTGGTGGAAAAGGAAAATCTTCACATAAAAACTAGATGGAAGCATTCTCAGAAACTACTTTGTGATGATTGCATTCGACTCACAGAGTTGAACATTCCTATAGATAGAGCAGGTTGTAAACAATGTTTTTGTAGAATCTGCGATTGGAGATTTGGATTGCTTTGAGGCCTACTGTAGTAAAGGAAATAACTTCATCTAAAAACCAAACGGAAGCATTCACAGACAATTCTTAGTGATCATTGGATTGAACTAACAGAGCTGAACATTCCTTTAGATGGAGCAGTTTCCAAACACACTTTCTGTAGAATCTGCAAGTGGATATTTGGACCTCTCTGAGGATTTCGTTGGAAAAGGGATAAACTTCCCAGAACTACACGGAAGCATTCTGAGAAAATTCTTTGTGATGTTTGCATTCAACTCACAGAGTTGAACCTTGCTTTCATAGTTCAGCTTTCAAACACTCTTTTTGTAGGATCTGCAAGTGGATATTTGGACCACTTTGTGGCCTTCCTTCGAAACGGGTATATCTAAACATCAAACCTAGACAGAAGCATTCTCAGAATGTTTCCTGTGATGACTGCATTCAACTCACAGAGGTGAAAAATCCTGCTGATGGAGCAGTTTTGAAACTCTCTTTCTTTGGATTCTGCAAGTGGATATGTGGACCTCTGTGAAGATTTCGTTGGAAACGGGTTTATCTTCACAGAAAAACTAAACAGAAGCATTCTCAGAAACTGCTTTGTGATGTTTGTTTTCCACTTCAAGAATTGAACTTTCCTCTTGACATAGCAGCTCTGAAACCCTCTTATTCTAGAATCTGCAAGTGGACATTTGGAGGGCTTTGAGTCCTGTGGTGGAAAAGGAAAATCTTCACATAAAAACTAGATGGAAGCATTCTCAGAAACTACTTTGTGATGATTGCATTCGACTCACAGAGTTGAACATTCCTATAGATAGAGCAGGTTGTAAACAATCTTTTTGTAGAATCTGCGATTGGAAATTTGGACTGCTTTGAGGCCTACTGTAGTAAAGGAAATAACTTCATCTAAAAACCAAACGGAAGCATTCACAGACAATTCTTAGTGATCATTGGATTGAACTAACAGAGCTGAACATTCCTTTAGATGGAGCAGTTTCCAAACCCACTTTCTGTAGAATCTGCAAGTGGATATTTGGACTTCTCTGAGGATTTCGTTGGAAACGGGATAAACTTCCCAGAACTACACGGAAGCATTGTGAGAAACTTCTTTGTGATGTTTGCATTCAACTCACAGAGTTGAACCTTGCTTTCATAGTTCAGCTTTCAAACACTCTTTTTGTAGAATCTGCAAGTGGATATTTGGACCACTTTGTGGCCTTCCTTCGAAACGGGTATATCTTCACATCAAACCTAGACAGAAGCATTCTCAGAATGTTTCCTGTGATGACTGCATTCAACTCACAGAGGTGAACAATCCTGCTGATGGAACAGTTTTGAAACTCTCTTTCTTTGGATTCTGCAAGTGGATATGTGGACCTCTGTGAAGATTTCGTTGGAAACGGGTTCATCTTCACAGAAAAACTAAACAGAAACATTCTCAGAAACTGCTTTGTGATGTTTGTGTTCCACTTCAAGAATTGAACTTTCCTCTTGACAGAGCAGCTCTGAAACCCTCTTTTTCTAGAATCTGCAAGTGGACATTTGGAGGGCTTTGAGGCCTGTGGTGGAAAAGGAAAATCTTCACATAAAAACTAGATGGAAGCATTCTCAGAAACTACTTTGTGATGATTGCATTCGACTCACAGAGTTGAACATTCCTATAGATAGAGCAGGTTGTAAACAATCTTTTTGTAGAATCTGCGATTGGAGATTTGGACTGCTTTGAGGCCTACTGTAGTAAAGGAAATAACTTCATCTAAAAACCAAACGGAAGCATTCACAGACAATGCTTAGTGATCATTGGATTGAACTAACAGAGCTGAACATTCCTTTAGATGGAGCAGTTTCCAAACACACTTTCTGTAGAATCTGCAAGTGGATATTTGGACTTCTCTGAGGATTTCGTTGGAAACGGGATAAACTTCCCAGAACTACACGGAAAGCATTCTGAGAAACTTCTTTGTGATGTTTGCATTCAACTCACAGGATTTGCACCTTGCTTTCATAGTTCAGCTTTCAAACACTCTTTTTGTAGAATCTGCAAGTGGATATTTGGACCACTTTGTGGCCTTCCTTCGAAAAGGGTATATCTTCACATCAAACCTAGACAGAAGCATTCTCAGAATGTTTCCTGTGATGACTGCATTCAACTCACAGAGGTGAACAATCCTGCTGATGGAGCAGTTTTGAAACTCTCTTTCTTTGGATTCTGCAAGAGGATATGTGGACCTCTGTGAAGATTTCGTTGGAAACGGGTTTATCTTCACAGAAAACCTAAACAGAAGCATTCTCAGAAACTGCTTTGTGATGTTTGTGTTCCACTTCAAGAATTGAACTTTCCTCTTGACAGAGCAGCTCTGAAACCCTCTTTTTCTAGAATCTGCACGTGGACATTTGGAGGGCTTTGAGGTCTGTGGTGGAAAAGGAAAATCTTCACATAAAAACTAGATGGAAGCATTCTCAGAAACTACTTTGTGATGATTGCATTCGACTCACAGAGTTGAACATTCCTATAGATAGAGCAGGTTGTAAACAATCTTTTTGTAGAATCTGCGATTGGAGATTTGGACTGCTTTGAGGCCTTCTGTAGTAAAGGAAATAACTTCATCTAAAAACCAAACGGAAGCATTCACAGACAATTCTTAGTGATCATTGCATTGAACTAACAGAGCTGAACATTCCTTTAGATGGAGCAGTTTCCAAACACACTTTCTGTAGAATCTGCAAGTGGATATTTGGACTTCTCTGAGGATTTCGTTGGAAACGGGATAAACTTCCCAGAACTACACGGAAGCATTGTGAGAAACTTCTTTGTGATGTTTGCATTCAACTCACAGAGTTGAACCTTGCTTTCATAGTTCAGCTTTCAAACACTCTTTTTATAGAATCTGCAAGTGGATATTTGGACCACTTTGTGGCCTTCCTTCGAAACGGGTATATCTTCACATCAAACCTAGACAGAAGCATTCTCAGAATGTTTCCTGTGATGACTGCATTCAACTCACAGAGGTGAACAATCCTGTTGATGGAGCAGTTTTGAAACTCTCTTTCTTTGGATTCTGCAAGTTGATATGTGGAACTCTGTGAAGATTTCGTTGGAAACGGGTTCATCTTCACAGAAAAACTAAACAGAAGCATTCTGAGAAACTGCTTTGTGATGTTTGTGTTCCACTTCAAGAATTGAACTTTCCTCTTGACAGAGCAGCTCTGAAACCCTCTTTTTCTAGAATCTGCAAGTGGTCATTTGGAGGGCTTTGAGGCCTGTGGTGGAAAAGGAAACTCTTCACATAAAAACTAGATGGAAGCATTCTCAGAAACTACTTTGTGATGATTGCATTCGACTCACAGAGTTGAACATTCCTATAGATAGAGCAGGTTGTAAACAATCTTTTGTAGAATCTGCGATTGGAGATTTGGACTGCTTTGAGGCCTACTGTAGTAAAGGAAATAACTTCATCTAAAAACCAAACGGAAGCATTCACAGACAATTCTTAGTGATCATTGGATTGAACTAACAGAGCTGAACATTCCTTTAGATGGCGCAGTTTCCAAACACACTTTCTGTAGAATCTGCAAGTGGATATTTGGACCTCTCTGAGGATTTCGTTGGAAACGGGATAAACTTCCCAGAACTACACGGAAGCATTGTGAGAATCTTCTTTGTGATGTTTGCATTCAACTCACAGAGTTGAACCTTGCTTTCATAGTTCAGCTTTCAAACACTCTTTTTGTAGAATCTGCAAGTGGATATTTGGACCACTTTGTGGCCTTCCTTCGAAACGGGTATATCTTCACATCAAACCTAGACAGAAGCATTCTCAGAATGTTTCCTGTGATGACTGCATTCAACTCACAGAGGTGAACAATCCTGTTGATGGAGCAGTTTTGAAACTCTCTTTCTTTGGATTCTGCAAGTGGATATGAGGACCTCTGTGAAGATTTCGTTGGAAACGGGTTCATCTTCACAGAAAAAATAAACAGGAAGCATTCTCGGAAACTGCTTTGTGATGTTTGTGTTCCACTTCAAGAATTGAACTTTTCTCTTGACAGAGCAGTTCTGAAACCCTCTTTTTCTAGAATCTGCAAGTGGACATTTGGAGGGCTTTGAGGCCTGTGGTGGAAAAGGAAACTCTTCACATAAAAACTAAATGGAAGCATTCTCAGAAACTACTTTGTGATGATTGCATTCGACTCACAGAGTTGAACATTCCTATAGATAGAGCAGGTTGTAAACAATCTTTTTGTAGAATCTGCGATTGGAGACTTGGACTGCTTTGAGGCCTACTGTAGTAAAGGAAATAACTTCATCTAAAAACCAAACGGAAGCATTCACAGACAATTCTTAGTGATCATTGGATTGAACTAACAGAGCTGAACATTCCTTTAGATGGAGCAGTTTCCAAACCCACTTTCTGTAGAATCTGCAAGTGGATATTTGGACCTCTGTGAGGATTTCGTTGGAAACGGGATAAACTTCCCAGAACTACACGGAAGCATTGTGAGAAACTTCTTTGTGATGTTTGCATTCAACTCACAGAGTTGAACCTTGCTTTCATAGTTCAGCTTTCAAACACTCTTTTGGTAGAATCTGCAAGTGGATATTTGGACCACTTTGTGGCCTTCCTTCGAAACGGGTATATCTTCACATCAAACCTAGACAGAAGCATTCTCAGAATGTTTCCTGTGATGACTGCATTCAACTCACAGAGGTGAACAATCCTGCTGATGGAGCAGTTTTGAAACTCTCTTTCTTTGGATTCTGCAAGTGGATATGTGGACCTCTGTGAAGATTTCGTTGGAAACGGGTTCATCTTCACAGAAAAACTAAACAGGAGCATTCTTAGAAACTGGTTTGTGATGTTTGTGTTCCACTTCAAGAATTGAACTTTCCTCTTGACAGAGCAGCTCTGAAACCCTCTTTTTCTAGAATCTGCAAGTGGACATTTGGAGGGCTTTGAGGCCTGTGGTGGAAAAGGAAAATCTTCACATAAAAACTAGATGGAAGCATTCTCAGAAACTACTTTGTGATGATTGCATTCGACTCACAGAGTTGAACATTCCTATAGATAGAGTAGGTTGTAAACAATCTTTTTGTAGAATCTGCGTTTGGAGATTTGGACTGCTTTGAGGTCTACTGTAGTAAAGGAAATAACTTCATCTAAAAAACAAACGGAAAGCATTCACAGACAATTCTTAGTGATCATTGGATTGAACTAACAGAGCTGAACATTCCTTTAGATGGAGCAGTTTCCAAACACACTTTCTGTAGAATCTGCAAGTGGATATTTGGACTTCTCTGAGGATGTCGTTGGAAACGGGATAAACTTCCCAGAACTACACGGAAGCATTGTGAGAAACTTCTTTGTGATGTTTGCATTCAACTCACAGAGTTGAACCTTGCTTTCATAGTTCAGCTTTCAAACACTCTTTTTGTAGAATCTGCAAGTGGATATTTGGACCTCTTTGTGGCCTTCCTTCGAAACAGGTATATCTTCACATCAAACCTAGACAGAAGCATTCTCAGAATGTTTCCTGTGATGACTGCATTCAACTCACAGAGGTGAACAATCCTGCTGATGGAGCAGTTTTGAAACTCTCTTTCTTTGGATTCTGCAAGTGGATATGTGGACCTCTGTGAAGATTTCGTTGGAAACGGGTTCATCTTCACAGAAAAACTAAACAGAAACATTCTCAGAAACTGCTTTGTGATGTTTGTGTTCCACTTCAAGAATTGAACTTTCCTCTTGACAGAGCAGCTCTGAAACCCTCTTTTTCTAGAATCTGCAAGTGGACATTTGGAGGGCTTTGAGGCCTGTGGTGGAAAAGGAAAATCTTCACATAAAAACTAGATGGAAGCATTCTCAGAAACTACTCTGTGATGATTGCATTCGACTCACAGAGTTGAACATTCCTATAGATAGAGCAGGTTGTAAACAATCTTTTTGAAGAATCTGCGATTGGAGATTTGGACTGCTTTGAGGCCTACTGCAGTAAAGGAAATAACATCATCTAAAAACCAAACGGAAGCATTCACAGACAATTCTTAGTGATCATTGGATTGAACTAACAGAGCTGAACATTCCTTTAGATGGAGCATTTTCCAAACACACTTTCTGTAGAATCTGCAAGTGGATATTTGGACTTCTCTGAGGATTTCGTTGGAAACGGAATAAACTTCCCAGAACTGCACGGAAGCATTGTGAGAAACTTCTTTGTGATGTTTGCATTCAGCTCACAGAGTTGAACCTTGCTTTCCTAGTTCAGCTTTCAAACACTCTTTTTGTGGAATCTGCAAGTGGATATTTGGACCACTTTGTGGCCTTCCTTCGAAACGGGTATATCTTCACATCAAACCTAGACAGAAGCATTCTCAGAATGTTTCCTGTGATGACTGCATTCAACTCACAGAGGTGAACAATCCTGTTGATGGAGCAGTTTTGAAACTCTCTTTCTTTGGATTCTGCAAGTGGATATGTGGACCTCTGTGAAGATTTCGTTGGAAACGGGTTCATCTTCACAGAAAAACTAAACAGGAGCATTCTCAGAAACTACTTTGTGATGTTTGTGTTCCACTTCAAGAATTGAACTTTCCTCTTGACAGAGCAGCTCTGAAACCCTCTTTTTCTAGAATCTGCAAGTGGACATTTGGAGGGCTTTGAGGCCTGTGGTGGAAAAGGAAAATCTTCACATAAAAACTAGATGGAAGCATTCTCAGAAACTACTTTGTGATGATTGCATTCGACTCACAGAGTTGAACATTCCTATAGATAGAGCAGGTGGCAAACAATCTTTTTGTAGAATCTGCGATTGGAGATTTGGACTGCTTTGAGGCCTACTGTAGTAAAGGAAATAACTTCATCTAAAAACCAAACGGAAGCATTCACAGACAATTCTTAGTGATCATTGCATTGAACTAACAGAGCTGAACATTCCTTTAGATGGAGCAGTTTCCAAACCCACTTTCTGTAGAATCTGCAAGTGGATATTTGGACTTCTCTGAGGATTTCGTTGGAAACAGGATAAACTTCCCAGAACTACACGGAAGCATTGTGAGAAACTTCTTTGTGATGTTTGCATTCAACTCACAGAGTTGAACCTTGCTTTCATAGTTCAGCTTTCAAACACTCTTTTTGTAGAATCTGCAAGTGGATATTTGGACCACTTTGTGGCCTTCCTTCGAAACGGGTATATCTTCACATCAAACCTTGTCAGAAGCATTCTAAGAATGTTTCCTGTGATGACTGCATTCAACTCACAGAGGTGAACAATCCTGCTGATGGAGCAGTTTTGAAACTCTCTTTCTTTGGATTCTGCAAGTGGATATGTGGACCTCTGTGAAGATTTCGTTGGAAACGGGTTCATCTTCACAGAAAAACTAAACAGGAGCATTCTCAGAAACTGCTTTGTGATGTTTGTGTTCCACTTCAGGAATTGAACTTTCCTCTTGACAGAGCAGCTCTGAAACCCTCTTATTCTAGAATCTGCAAGTGGACATTTGGAGGGCTTTGAGGCCTGTGGTGGAAAAGGAAAATCTTCACATAAAAACTAGATGGAAGCATTCTCAGAAACTACTTTGTGATGATTGCATTCGACTCACAGAGTTGAACATTCCTATAGATAGAGCAGGTTGTAAACAATCTTTTTGTAGAATCTGCGATTGGAGATTTGGACTGCTTTGTGGCCTACTGTAGTAAAGGAAATAACTTCATCTAAAAACCAAACGGAAGCATTCACAGCCAATTCTTAGAGATCATTGGATTGAACTAACAGAGCTGAACATTCCTTTAGATGGCGCAGTTTCCAAACACACTTTGTGTAGAATCTGCAAGTGGATATTTGGACCTCTCTGAGGATTTCGTTGGAAATGGGATAAACTTCCCAGAACTACACGGAAGCATTGTGAGAAACTTCTTTGTGATGTTTGCATTCAACTCACAGAGTTGAACCTTGCTTTCATAGTTCAGCTTTCAAACACTCTTTTTGTGGAATCTGCAAGTGGATATTTGGACCAATTTGTGGCCTTCCTTCGAAACGGGTATATCTTCACATCAAACCTAGACAGAAGCATTCTCAGAATGTTTCCTGTGATGACTGCATTCAACTCACAGAGATGAACAATCCTGCTGATGGAGCAGTTTTGAAAATCTCTTTCTTTGGATTCTGCAAGTGGATATGTGGACCTCTCTGAAGATTTCGTTGGAAACGGGTTCATGTTCACAGAAAAACTAAACAGAAGCATTCTCAGAAACTGCTTTGTGATGTTTGTGTTCCACTTCAAGAATTGAACTTTCCTCTTGACAGAGCAGCTCTGAAACCCTCTTATTCTAGAATCTGCAAGTGGACATTTGGAGTGCTTTGAGGCCTGTGGTGGAAAAGGAAAATCTTCACATAAAAACTAGATGGAAGCATTCTCAGAAACTACTTTGTGATGATTGCATTCGACTCACAGAGTTGAACATTCCTATACATAGAGCAGGTTGTAAACAATCTTTTTGTAGAATCTGCGATTGGAGATTTGGACTGCTTTGAGGCCTACTGTAGTAAAGGAAATAACTTCATCTAAAAACCAAACGGAAGCATTCACAGACAATTCTTAGTGATCATTGCATTGAACTAACAGAGCTGAACATTCCTTTAGATGGCGCAGTTTCCAAACACACTTTCTGTAGAATCTGCAAGTGGATATTTGGACCTCTCTGAGGATTTCGTTGGAAACGGGATAAACTTCCCAGAACTACACGGAAGCATTCTGAGAAACTTCTTTGTGATGTTTGCATTCAACTCACAGAGTTGAACCTTGCTTTCATAGTTCAGCTTTCAAACACTCTTTTTGTAGAATCTGCAAGTGGATATTTGGACCACTTTGTGGCCTTCCTTCGAAACGGGTATATCTTCACATCAAACCTAGACAGAAGCATTCTCAGAATGTTTCCTGTGATGACTGCATTCAACTCACAGAGGTGAACAATCCTGCTGATGGAGCAGTTTTGAAACTCTCTTTCTTTGGATTCTGCAAGTGGATATGTGGACCTCTGTGAAGATTTCGTTGGAAACGGGTTCATCTTCACAGAAAAACTAAACAGAAGCATTCTCAGAAACTGCTTTGTGATGTTTGTGTTCCACTTCAAGAATTGAACTTTCCTCTTGACAGAGCAGCTCTGAAACCCTCTTTTTCTAGAATCTGCAAGTGGACATTTGGAGGGCTTTGAGGCCTGTGGTGGAAAAGGAAAATCTTCACATAAAAACTGGATGGAAGCATTCTCAGAAACTACTTTGTGATGATTGCATTCGACTCACAGAGTTGAACATTCCTATACATAGAGCAGGTTGTAAACAATCTTTTTGTAGAATCTGCGATTGGAGATTTGGACTGCTTTGAGGCCTACTGTAGTAAAGGAAATAACTTCATCTAAAAACCAAACGGAAGCATTCACAGACAATTCTTAGTGATCATTGGATTGAACTAACAGAGCTGAACATTCTTTTAGATGGCGCAGTTTCCAAACACACTTTCTGTAGAATCTGCAAGTGGATATTTGGACTTCTCTGAGGATTTCGTTGGAAACGGGATAAACTTCCCAGAACTACACGGAAGCATGCTGAGAAACTTCTTTGTGATGTTTGCATTCAACTCACAGAGTTGAACCTTGCTTTCATAGTTCAGCTTTCAAACACTCTTTTTGTAGAATCTGCAAGTGGATATTTGGACCACTTTGTGGCCTTCCTTCGAAACGGGTATATCTTCACATCAAACCTAGACAGAAGCATTCTCAGAATGTTTCCTGTGATAACTGCATTCAACTCACAGAGGTGAACAATCCTGTTGATGGAGCAGTTTTGAATCTCCCTTTGTTTGGATTCTGCAAGTGGATATGTGGAACTCTGTGAAGATTTCGTTGGAAACGGGTTCATCTTCACAGAAAAACTAAACAGGAGCATTCCCAGAAACTGCTTTGTGATGTTTCTGTTCCACTTCAAGAATTGAACTTTCCTCTTGACAGAGCAGCTCTGAAACCCTCTTTTTCTAGAATCTGCAAGTGGACATTTGGAGGGCTTTGAGGCCTGTGGTGGAAAAGGAAAATCTTCACATAAAAACTAGATGGAAGCATTCTCAGAAACTACTTTGTGATGATTGCATTCGACTCACAGAGTTGAACATTCCTATAGATAGAGCAGGTTGTAAACAATCTTTTTGTAGAATCTGCGATTGGAGATTTGGACTGCTTTGAGGCCTACTGTAGTAAAGGAAATAACTTCATCTAAAAACCAAACGGAAGCATTCACAGACAATTCTTAGTGATCATTGCATTGAACTAACAGAGCTGAACATTCCTTTAGATGGCGCAGTTTCCAAACACACTTTCTGTAGAATCTGCAAGTGGATATTTGGACCTCTCTGAGGATTTCGTTGGAAACGGGATAAACTTCCCAGAACTACACGGAAGCATTCTGAGAAACTTCTTTGTGATGTTTGCATTCAACTCACAGAGTTGAACCTTGCTTTCATAGTTCAGCTTTCAAACACTCTTTTTGTAGAATCTGCAAGTGGATATTTGGACCACTTTGTGGCCTTCCTTCGAAACGGGTATATCTTCACATCAAACCTAGACAGAAGCATTCTCAGAATGTTTCCTGTGATGACTGCATTCAACTCACAGAGGTGAACAATCCTGTTGATGGAGCAGTTTTGAAACTCTCCTTCTTTGGATTCTGCAAGTGGATATGTGGACCTCTGTGAAGATTTCGTTGGAAACGGGTTCATCTTCACAGAAAAACTAAACAGAAGCATTCTCAGAAACTGCTTTGTGATGTTTGTGTTCCACCTAAAGAATTGAACTTTCCTCTTGACAGAGCAGCTCTGAAACCCTCCTTTTCCAGAATCTGCAAGTGGACATTTGGAGGGCTTTGAGGCCTGCGGTGGAAAAGGAAAATCTTCACATAAAACTAGATGGAAGCATTCTCAGAAACTACTTTGTGATGATTGCATTCGACTCACAGAGTTGAACATTCCTATAGATAGAGCAGGTTGTAAACAATCTTTTTGTAGAATCTGCGATTGGAGATTTGGACTGCTTTGAGGCCTACTGTAGTAAAGGAAATAACTTCATCTAAAAACCAAACGGAAGCATTCCCAGACAATTCTTAGTGATCATTGGATTGAACTAACAGAGCTGAACATTCCTTTAGATGGCGCAGTTTCCAAACACACTTTCTGTAGAATCTGCCACTGGATATTTGGACCTCTCTGAGGATTTCGTTGGAAACGGGCTAAACTTCCCAGAACTACACGGAAGCATTCTGAGAAACTTCTTTTTGATGTTTGCATTCAACTCACAGAGTTGAAACTTGCTTTCATAGTTCAGCTTTCAAACACTCTTTTTGTAGAATCTGCAAGTGGATATTTGGACCACTTTGTGGCCTTCCTTCGAAACGGGTATATCTTCACATCAAACCTAGACAGAAGCATTCTCAGAATGTTTCCTGTGATGACTGCATTCAACTCACAGAGGTGAACAATCCTGCTGATGGAGCAGTTTTGAAACTCTCTTTCTTTGGATTCTGCAAGTGGATATGTGGACCTCTGTGAAGATTTCGTTGGAAACGGGTTCATCTTCACAGAAAAACTAAACAGAAGCATTCTCAGAAACTGCTTTGTGATGTTTTTGTTCCACTTCAGGAATTGAACTTTCCTCTTGACAGAGCAGCTCTGAAACCCTCTTTTTCTAGAATCTGCAAGTGGACATTTGGAGGGCTTTGAGGCCTGTGGTGGAAAAGGAAAACCTTCACATAAAAACTAGATGGAAGCATTCTCAGAAACTACTTTGTGATGATTGCATTCGACTCACAGAGTTGAACATTCCTATAGGTAGAGCAGGTTGTAAACAATCTTTTTGTAGAATCTGCGATTGGAGATTTGGACTGCTTTGAGGCCTACTGTAGTAAAGGAAATAACTTCATCTAAAAACCAAACGGAAGCATTCACAGACAATTCTTAGTGATCATTGCATTGAACTAACAGAGCTGAACATTCCTTTAGATGGCGCAGTTTCCAAACACACTTTCTGTAGAATCTGCAAGAGGATATTTGGACCTCTCTGAGGATTTCTTTGGAAACGGGATAAACTTCCCAAACTACACGGAAGCATTCTGAGAAACTTCTTTGTGATGTTTGCATTCAACTCACAGAGTTGAACCTTGCTTTCATAGTTCAGCTTTCAAACACTCTTTTTGTAGAATCTGCAAGTGGATATTTGGACCACTTTGTGGCCTTCCTTCGAAACGGGTATATCTTCACATCAAACCTAGACAGAAGCATTCTCAGAATGTTTCCTGTGATGACTGCATTCAACTCACAGAGGCGAACAATCCTGTTGATGGAGCAGTTTTGAAACTCTCTTTCTTTGGATTCTGCAAGTGGATATGTGGACCTCTGTGAAGATTTTGTTGGAAACGGGTTCATCTTCACAGAAAAACTAAACAGAAGCATTCTCAGAAACTGCTTTGTGATGTTTGTGTTCCACTTCAGGAATTGAACTTTCCTCTTGACAGAGCAGCTCTGAAACCCTCTTATTCTAGAATCTGCAAGTGGACATTTGGAGGGCTTTGAGGCCTGTGGTGGAAAAGGAAAATCTTCACATAAAAACTAGATGGAAGCATTCTCAGAAACTACTTTGTGATGATTGCATTCGACTCACAGAGTTGAACATTCCTATAGATAGAGCAGGTTGTAAACAATGTTTTTGTAGAATCTGCGATTGGAGATTTGGACTGCTTTGAGGCCTACTGTAGTAAAGGAAATAACTTCATCTAAAAACCAAACGGAAGCATTCACAGACAATTCTTAGTGATCATTGGATTGAACTAACAGAGCTGAACATTCCTTTAGATGGCGCAGTTTCCAAACACACTTTCTGTAGAATCTGCCACTGGATATTTGGAACTCTCTGAGGATTTCGTTGGAAACGGGCTAAACTTCCCAGAACTACACGGAAGCATTGTGAGAAACTTCTTTGTGATGTTTGCATTCAACTCACAGAGTTGAACCTTGCTTTCATAGTTCAGCTTTCAAACACTCTTTTTGTAGAATCTGCAAGTGGATATTTGGACCACTTTGTGGCCTTCCTTCGAAACGGGTATATCTTCACATCAAACCTAGACAGAAGCATTCTCAGAATGTTTCCTGTGATGACTGCATTCAACTCACAGAGGTGAACAATCCTGTTGATGGAGCAGTTTTGAAACTCTCTTTCTTTGGATTCTGCAAGTTGATATGTGGACCTCTGTGAAGATTTCGTTGGAAACGGGTTCATCTTCACAGAAAAACTACACAGAAGCATTCTCAGAAACTGCTTTGTGATGTTTGTGTTCCACTTCAAGAATTGAACTTTCCTCTTGACAGAGCAGCTCTGAAACCCTCTTTTTCTAGAATCTGCAAGTGGACATTTGGAGGGCTTTGAGGCTTGTGGTGGAAAAGGAAAATCTTCACATAAAAACTAGATGGAAGCATTC
Source organism: Homo sapiens (assembly GCF_000001405.40). Lineage (NCBI taxonomy): Eukaryota > Metazoa > Chordata > Mammalia > Primates > Hominidae > Homo > Homo sapiens. The sequence continues at coordinate 52,787,680 of NC_000011.10, forward strand.
TCAGAAACTACTTTGTGATGATTGCATTCGACTCACAGAGTTGAACATTCCTATACATAGAGCAGGTTGTAAACAATCTTTTTGTAGAATCTGCGATTGGAGATTTGGACTGCTTTGAGGCCTACTGTAGTAAAGGAAATAACTTCATCTAAAAACCAAACGGAAGCATTCACAGACAATTCTTAGTGATCATTGCATTGAACTAACAGAGCTGAACATTCCTTTAGATGGCGCAGTTTCCAAACACACTTTCTGTAGAATCTGCAAGTGGATATTTGGACCTCTCTGAGGATTTCGTTGGAAACGGGATAAACTTCCCAGAACTACACGGAAGCATTCTGAGAAACTTCTTTGTGATGTTTGCATTCAACTCACAGAGTTGAACCTTGCTTTCATAGTTCAGCTTTCAAACACTCTTTTTGTAGAATCTGCAAGTGGATATTTGGACCACTTTGTGGCCTTCCTTCGAAACGGGTATATCTTCACATCAAACCTAGACAGGAAGCATTCTCAGAATGTTTCCTGTGATGACTGCATTCAACTCACAGAGGTGAACAATCCTGTTGATGGAGCACTTTTGAAACTCTCTTTCTTTGGATTCTGCAAGTTGATATGTGGACCTCTGTGAAGATTTCGTTGGAAATGGGTTCATCTTCACAGAAAAACTAAACAGAAGCATTCTCAGAAACTACTTTGTGATGTTTGTGTTCCACTTCAAGAATTGAACTTTCCTCTTGACAGAGCAGCTCTGAAACCCTCTTTTTCTAGAATCTGCAAGTGGACATTTGGAGGGCTTTGAGGCCTGTGGTGGAAAAGGAAAATCTTCACATAAAAACTAGATGGAAGCATTCTCAGAAACTACTTTGTGATGATTGCATTCGACTCACAGAGTTGAACATTCCTATAGATAGAGCAGGTTGTAAACAATCTTTTTGTAGAATCTGCGATTGGAGATTTGGACTGCTTTGAGGCCTACTGTAGTAAAGGAAATAACTTCATCTAAAAACCAAACGGAAGCATTCACAGACAATCCTTAGTGATCATTGGATTGAACTAACAGAGCTGAACATTCCTTTAGATGGAGCAGTTTCCAAACCCACTTTCTGTAGAATCTGCAAGTGGATATTTGGACTTCTCTGAGGATTTCATTGGAAACGGGATAAACTTCCCAGAACTACACGGAAGCATTGTGAGAAACTTCTTTGTGATGTTTGCATTCAACTCACAGAGTTGAACCTTGCTTTCATAGTTCAGCTTTCAAACCCTCTTTTTGTAGAATCTGCAAGTGGATATTTGGACCACTTTGTGGCCTTCCTTCGAAACGGGTATATGTTCACGTCAAACCTAGACAGAAGCATTCTCAGAATGTTTCCTGTGATGACTGCATTCAACTCACAGAGGTGAACAATCCTGCTGATGGAGCAGTTTTGAAACTCTCTTTCTTTGGATTCTGCAAGTGGATATGTGGACCTCTGTGAAGATTTCGTTGGAAACGGGTTCATCTTCACAGAAAAACTAAAAAGAAGCATTCTCAGAAACTGCTTTGTGATGTTTGTGTTCCACTTCAAGAATTGAACTTTCCTCTTGACAGAGCAGCTCTGAAACCCTCTTTTTCTAGAGTCTGCAAGTGGACATTTGGAGGGCTTTGAGGCCTGTGGTGGAAAAGGAAAATCTTCCCATAAAAACTAGATGGAAGCATTCTGAGAAACTACTTTGTGATGATTGCATTCGACTTCGACAGAGTTGAACATTCCTATAGATAGAGCAGGTTGTAAACAATCTTTTTGTAGAATCTGCGATTGGAGATTTGGACTGCTTTGAGGCCTACTGTAGTAAAGGAAATAACTTCATCTAAAAACCAAACGGAAGCATTCACAGACAATTCTTAGTGATCATTGCATTGAACTAACAGAGCTGAACATTGCTTTAGACGGCGCAGTTTCCAAACACACTTTCTGTAGAATCTGCAAGTGGATATTTGGACTTCTCTGAGGATTTCGTTGGAAACGGGATAAACTTCCCAGAACTACACGGAAGCATTCTGAGAAACTTCTTTGTGATGTTTGCATTCAACTCACAGAGTTGAACCTTGCTTTCATAGTTTAGCTTTCAAACACACTTTTTGTAGAATCTGCAAGTGGATATTTGGACCACTTTGTGGCCTTCCTTCGAAACGGGTATATCTTCACATCAAACCTAGACAGAAGCATTCTCAGAATGTTTCCTGTGATGACTGCATTCAACTCACAGAGTTGAACAATCCTGTTGATGGAGCAGTTTTGAAACTCTCTTTCTTTGGATTCTGCAAGTTGATATGTGGACCTATGTGAAGATTTCGTTGGAAACGGGTTCATCTTCACAGAAAAACTAAACAGAAGCATTCTCAGAAACTGCTTTGTGATGTTTGTGTTCCACTTCAAGAATTGAACTTTCCTCTTGACAGAGCAGCTCTGAAACCCTCTTTTTCTAGAATCTGCAAGTGGACATTTGGAGGGCTTTGAGCTCTGTGGTGGAAAAGGAAAATCTTCACATAAAAACTAGATGGAAGCATTATCAGAAACTACTTTGTGATGATTGCATTCGACCCACAGAGTTGAACATTCCTATAGATAGAGCAGGTTGTAAACAATCTTTTTGTAGAATCTGCGATTGGAGATTTGGACAGCTTTGAGGCCTACTGTAGTAAAGGAAATAACTTCATCTAAAAACCAAACGGAAGCATTCACAGACAATTCTTAGTGATCATTGGATTGAACTAACAGAGCTGAACATTCCTTTAGATGGAGCATTTTCCAAACACACTTTCTGTAGAATCTGCAAGTGGATATTTGGACCTCTCTGAGGATTTCGTTGGAAACGGGGTAAACTTCCCAGAAATACACGGAAGCATTGTGAGAAAATTCTTTGTGATGTTTGCATTCAACTCACAGAGTTGAACCTTGGTTTCATAGTTCAGCTTTCAAACACTCTTTTTGTAGAATCTGCAAGTGGATATTTGGACCACTTTGTGGCCTTCCTTCGAAACGGGTATATCTTCACATCAAACCTAGACAGAAGCATTCTCAGAATGTTTCCTGTGATGACTGCATTCAACTCACAGAGGTGAACAATCCTGCTGATGGAGCAGTTTTGAAACTCTCTTTCTTTGGATTCTGCAAGTGGATATGTGGACCTCTGTGAAGATTTCGTTGGAAACGGGTTCATCTTCACAGAAAAACTAAACAGGAGCATTCTCAGAAACTGCTTTGTGATGTTTGTGTTCCACTTCAGGAATTGAACTTTCCTCTTGACAGAGCAGCTCTGAAAACCTCTTTTTCTAAAATCTGCAAGTGGACATTTGGAGGGATTTGAGGCCTGTGGTGGAAAAGGAAAATCTTCACATAAAAACTAGATGGAAGCATTCTCAGAAACTACTTTGTGATGATTGCATTCGACTCACAGAGTTGAACATTCCTATAGATAGAGCAGGTTGTAAACAATCTTTTTGTAGAATCTGCGATTGGAGATTTGGACTGGTTTGAGGCCTACTGTAGTAAAGGAAATAAATTCATCTAAAAACCAAACGGAAGCATTCACAGACAATTCTTAGTGATCATTGGATTGAACTAACAGAGCTGAACATTCCTTTAGATGGAGCAGTTTCCAAACACACTTTCTGTAGAATCTGCAAGTGGATATTTGGACTTCTCTGAGGATTTCTTTGGAAACGGCATAAACTTCCCAGAACTACGGGGAAGCATTCTGAGAAACTTCTTTGTGATGTTTGCATTCAACTCACAGAGTTGAACCTTGCTTTCATAGTTCAGCTTTCAAACACTCTTTTTGTAGAATCTGCAAGTGGATATTTGGACCACTTTGTGGCCTTCCTTCGAAACGGGTATATCTTCACATCAAACCTAGACAGAAGCATTCTCAGAATGTTTCCTGTGATGACTGCATTCAACTCACAGAGGTGAACAATCCTGCTGATGGAGCAGTTTTGAAACTCTCTTTCTTTGGATTCTGCAAGTGGATATGTGGACCTCTGTGAAGATTTCGTTGGAAACGGGTTCATCTTCACAGAAAAACTAAACAGAATCATTCTCAGAAACTGCTTTGTGATGTTTGTGTTCCACTTCAAGAATTGAACTTTCCTCTTGACAGAGCAGCTCTGAAACCCTCTTTTTCTAGAATCTGCAAGTGGACATTTGGAGGGCTTTGAGGCCTGTGGTGGAAAAGGAAACTCTTCACATAAAAACTAGATGGAAGCATTCTCAGAAACTACTTTGTGATGATTGCATTCGACTCACAGAGTTGAACATTCCTATAGATAGAGCAGGTTGTAAACAATGTTTTTGTAGAATCTGCGATTGGAGATTTGGATTGCTTTGAGGCCTACTGTAGTAAAGGAAATAACTTCATCTAAAAACCAAACGGAAGCATTCACAGACAATTCTTAGTGATCATTGGATTGAACTAACAGAGCTGAACATTCCTTTAGATGGAGCAGTTTCCAAACCCACTTTCTTTAGAATCTGCAAGTGGATATTTGGACTTCTCTGAGGATTTCGTTGGAAACGGGATAAACTTCCCAGAACTACACGGAAGCATTGTGAGAAACTTCTTTGTGATGTTTTCATTCAACTCACAGAGTTGAACCTTGCTTTCATAGTTCAGCTTTCAAACACTCTTTTTGTAGAATCTGCAAGTGGATATTTGGACCACTTTGTGGCCTTCCTTCGAAACGGGTATATCTTCACCTCAAACCTACACAGAAGCATTCTCAGAATGTTTCCTGTGATGACTGCATTCAACTCACAGAGGTGAACAATCCTGTTGATGGAGTAGTTTTGAAACTCTCTTTCTTTGGATTCTGCAACTGGATATGTGGACCTCTGTGAAGATTTCGTTGGAAACGGGTTCATCTTCACAGAAAAACTAAACAGAAGCATTCTCAGAAACTGCTTTGTGATGTTTGTGTTCCACTTCAAGAATTGAACTTTCCTCCTGACAGAGCAGCTCTGAAACCCTCTTTTTCTAGAATCTGCAAGTGGACATTTGGAGGGCTTTGAGGCCTGTGGTGGAAAAGGAAAATCTTCACATAAAAACTAGATGGAAGCATTCTCAGAAACTACTTTGTGATGATTGCATTCGACTCACAGAGTTGAACATTCCTATAGATAGAGCAGGTTGTAAACAATGTTTTTGTAGAATCTGCGATTGGAGATTTGGACTGCTTTGAGGCCTACTGTAGTAAAGGAAATAACTTCATCTAAAAACCAAACGGAAGCATTCAGAGACAATTCTTAGTGATCATTGGATTGAACTAACAGAGCTGAACATTCCTTTAGATGGAGCAGTTTCCAAACCCACTTTCTGTAGAATCTGCAAGTGGATATTTGGACTTCTCTGAGGATTTCGTTGGAAACGGGATAAACTTCCCAGAACTACACGGAAGCATTGTGAGAAACTTCTTTGTGATGTTTGCATTCAACTCACAGAGTTGAACCTTGCTTTCATAGTTCAGCTTTCAAACACTCTTTTTGTAGAATCTGCAAGTGGATATTTGGACCACTTTGTGGCCTTCCTTTGAAACGGGTATATCTTCACATCAAACCTAGACAGAAGCATTCTCAGAATGTTTCCTGTGATGACTGCATTCAACTCACAGAGGTGAACAATCCTGCTGATGGAGCAGTTTTGAAACTCTCTTTCTTTGGATTCTGCAAGTGGATATGTGGACCTCTGTGAAGATTTCGTTGGAAACGGGTTCATCTTCACAGAAAAACTAAACAGGAGCATTCCCAGAAACTGCTTTGTGATGTTTCTGTTCCACTTCAAGAATTGAACTTTCCTCTTGACAGAGCAGCTCTGAAACCCTCTTTTTCTAGAATCTGCAAGTGGACATTTGGAGGGCTTTGAGGCCTGTGGTGGAAAAGGAAAATCTTCACATAAAAACTAGATGGAAGCATTCTCAGAAACTACTTTGTGATGATTGCATTCGACTCACAGAGTTGAACATTCCTATAGATAGAGCAGGTTGTAAACAATCTTTTTGTAGAATCTGCGATTGGAGATTTGGACTGCTTTGAGGCCTACTGTAGTAAAGGAAATAACTTCATCTAAAAACCAAACGGAAGCATTCACAGACAATTCTTAGTGATCATTGGATTGAACTAACAGAGCTGAACATTCCTTTAGATGGAGCAGTTTCCAAACCCACTTTCTGTAGAATCTGCAAGTGGATATTTGGACTTCTCTGAGGATTTCGTTGGAAACGGGATAAACTTCCCAGAACTACACGGAAGCATTGTGAGAAACTTCTTTGTGATGTTTGCATTCAACTCACAGAGTTGAACCTTGCTTTCATAGTTCAGCTTTCAAACACTCTTTTTGTAGAATCTGCAAGTGGATATTTGGACCACTTTGTGGCCTTCCTTCGAAACGGGTATATCTTCACATCAAACCTAGACAGAAGCATTCTCAGAATGTTTCCTGTGATGACTGCATTCAACTCACAGAGGTGAACAATCCTGCTGATGGAGCAGTTTTGAAACTCTCTTTCTTTGGATTCTGCAAGTGGATATGTGGACCTCTGTGAAGATTTCGTTGGAAACGGGTTCATCTTCACAGAAAAACTAAACAGGAGCATTCTCAGAAACTACTTTGTGATGTTTGTGTTCCACTTCAAGAATTGAACTTTCATCTTGACAGAGCAGCTCTGCAACCCTCTTTTTCTAGAATCTGCAAGTGGACATTTGGAGGGCTTTGAGGCCTGTGGTGGAAAAGGAAAATCTTCACATAAAAACTAGATGGAAGCATTCTCAGAAACTACTTTGTGATGATTGCATTCGACTCACAGAGTTGAACATTCCTATAGATAGAGCAGGTTGTAAACAATCTTTTTGTAGAATCTGCGATTGGAGATTTGGACTGCTTTGAGGCCTACAGTAGTAAAGGAAATAACTTCATCTAAAAACCAAACGGAAGCATTCACAGACAATTCTTAGTGATCATTGCATTGAACTAACAGAACTGAACATTCCTTTAGATGGAGCAGTTTCCAAACCCACTTTCTGTAGAATCTGCAAGTGGATATTTGGACTTCTCTGAGGATTTCGTTGGAAACGGGATAAACTTCCCAGAACTACACGGAAGCATTGTGAGAAACTTCTTTGTGATGTTTGCATTCAACTCACAGAGTTGAACCTTGCTTTCATAGTTCAGCTTTCAAACACTCTTTTTGTAGAATCTGCAAGTGGATATTTGGACCACTTTGTGGCCTTCCTTCGAAACGGGTATATCTTCACATCAAACCTAGACAGAAGCATTCTCAGAATGTTTCCTGTGATGACTGCATTCAACTCACAGAGGTGAACAATCCTGCTGATGGAGCAGTTTTGAAACTCTCTTTCTTTGGATTCTGCAAGTGGATATGTGGACCTCTGTGAAGATTTCGTTGGAAACGGGTTCATCTTCACAGAAAAACTAAACAGGAGCATTCTCAGAAACTGCTATGTGATGTTTGTGTTCCACTTCAAGAATTGAACTTTCCTCTTGACAGAGCAGCTCTGAAACCCTCTTTTTCTAGAATCTGCAAGTGGACATTTGGAGGGCTTTGAGGCCTGTGGTGGAAAAGGAAAATCTTCACATAAAAACTAGATGGAAGCATTCTCAGAAACTACTTTGTGATGGTTGCATTCGTCTCACAGAGTTGAACATTCCTATAGATAGAGCAGGTTGTAAACAATCTTTTTCTAGAATCTGCGATTGGAGATTTGGACTGCTTTGAGGCCTACTGTAGTAAAGGAAATAACTTCATCTAAAAACCAAACGGAAGCATTCACAGACAATTCTTAGTGATCACTGGATTGAACTAACAGAGCTGAACATTCCTTTAGATGGAGTAGTTTCCAAACACACTTTCTGTAGAATCTGCAAGTGGATATTTGGACTTCTCTGAGGATTTCGTTGGAAACGGGATAAACTTCCCAGAACTACACGGAAGCATTCTGAGAAACTTCTTTGTGATGTTTGCATTCAACTCACAGAGTTGAACCTTGCTTTCATAGTTCAGCTTTCAAACACTCTTTTTGTAGAATCTGCAAGTGGATATTTGGACCACTTTGTGGCCTTCCTTCGAAACGGGTATATCTTCACATCAAACCTAGACAGAAGCGTTCTCAGAATGTTTCCTGTGATGACTGCATTCAACTCACAGAGGTGAACAATCCTGCTGATGGAGCAGTTTTGAAACTCTCTTTCTTTGGATTCTGCAAGTGGATATGTGGACCTCTGTGAAGATTTCGTTGGAAACGGGTTCATCTTCACAGAAAAACTAAACAGGAGCATTCTCAGAAACTGCTTTGTGATTTTTGTGTTCCACTTCAGGAATTGAACTTCCCTCTTGACAGAGCAGCTCTGAAACCCTCTTTTTCTAGAATCTGCAAGTGGACATTTGGAGGGCTTTGAGGCCTGTGGTGGAAAAGGAAAATCTTCACATAAAAACTAGATGGAAGCATTCTCAGAAACTACTCTGTGATGATTGCATTCGACTCACAGAGTTGAACATTCCTATAGATAGAGCAGGTTGTAAACAATCTTTTTGAAGAATCTGCGATTGGAGATTTGGACTGCTTTGAGGCCTACTGCAGTAAAGGAAATAACATCATCTAAAAACCAAACGGAAGCATTCACAGACAATTCTTAGTGATCATTGCATTGAACTAACAGAGCTGAACATTCCTTTAGATGGAGCATTTTCCAAACACACTTTCTGTAGAATCTGCAAGTGGATATTTGGACTTCTCTGAGGATTTCGTTGGAAACGGGATAAACTTCCCAGAACTACACGGAAGCATTCTGAGAAACTTCTTTGTGATGTTTGCATTCAACTCACAGAGTTGAACCTTGCTTTCATAGTTCAGCTTTCAAACACTCTTTTTGTAGAATCTGCAAGTGGATATTTGGACCACTTTGTGGCCTTCCTTCGAAACGGGTATATCTTCACATCAAACCTAGACAGAAGCATTCTCAGAATGTTTCCTGTGATGACTGCATTCAACTCACAGAGGTGAACAATCCTGCTGATGGAGCAGTTTTGAAACTCTCTTTCTTTGGATTCTGCAAGTGGATATGTGGACCTCTGTGAAGATTTCGTTGGAAACGGGTTCATCTTCACAGAAAAACTAAACAGAAACATTCTCAGAAACTGCTTTGTGATGTTTGTGTTCCACTTCAGGAATTGAACTTTCCTCTTGACAGAGCAGCTCTGAAACCCTCTTTTTCTAGAATCTGCAAGTGGACATTTGGAGGGCTTGGAGGCCTGTGGTGGAAAAGGAAAATCTTCACATAAAAACTAGATGGAAGCATTCTCAGAAACTACTTTGTGATGATTGCATTCGACTCACAGAGTTGAACATTCCTATAGATAGAGTAGGTTGTAAACAATCTTTTTGTAGAATCTGCGATTGGAGATTTGGACTGCTTTGAGGTCTACTGTAGTAAAGGAAATAACTTCATCTAAAAAACAAACGGAAGCATTCACAGACAATTCTTAGTGATCATTGCATTGAACTAACAGAGCTGAACATTCCTTTAGATGGCGCAGTTTCCAAACACACTTTCTGTAGAATCTGCAAGTGGATATTTGGACCTCTCTGAGGATTTCGTTGGAAACGGGATAAACTTCCCAGAACTACACGGAAGCATTCTGAGAAACTTCTTTGTGATGTTTGCATTCAACTCACAGAGTTGAACCTTGCTTTCATAGTTCAGCTTTCAAACACTCTTTTTGTAGAATCTGCAAGTGGATATTTGGACCACTTTGTGGCCTTCTTTCGAAACGGGTATATCTTCACATCAAACCTAGACAGAAGCATTCTCAGAATGTTTCCTGTGATGACTGCATTCAACTCACAGAGGTGAACAATCCTGCTGATGGAGCAGTTTTGAAACTCTCTTTCTTTGGATTCTGCAAGTGGATATGTGGACCTATGTGAAGATTTCGTTGGAAACGGGTTCATCTTCACAGAAAAACTAAACAGAAGCATTCTCAGAAACTGCTTTGTGATGTTTGTGTTCCACTTCAGGAATTGAACTTTCCTCTTGACAGAGCAGCTCTGAAACCCTCTTATTCTAGAATCTGCAAGTGGACATTTGGAGGGCGTTGAGGCCTGTGGTGGAAAAGGAAAATCTTCACATAAAAACTAGATGGAAGCATTCTCAGAAACTACTTTGTGATGATTGCATTCGACTCACAGAGTTGAACATTCCTATAGATAGAGCAGGTTGTAAACAATCTTTTTGTAGAATCTGCGATTGGAGATTTGGACTGCTTTGAGGCCTACTGTAGTAAAGGAAATAACTTCATCTAAAAACCAAACGGAAGCATTCACAGACAATTCTTAGTGATCATTGCATTGAACTAACAGAGCTGAACATTCCTTTAGATGGAGCAGTTTCCAAACACACTTTCTGTAGAATCTGCAAGTGGATATTTGGACTTTTCTGAGGATTTCGTTGGAAACGGGATAAACTTCCCAGAACTACAGGGAAGCATTGTGAGAAACTTCTTTGTGATGTTTGCATTCAACTCACAGAGTTGAACCTTGCTTTCATAGTTCAGCTTTCAAACACTCTTTTTGTAGAATCTGCAAGTGGATATTTGGACCACTTTGTGGCCTTCCTTCGAAACGGGTATATCTTCACATCAAACATTGACAGAAGCATTCTCAGAATGTTTCCTGTGATGACGGCATTCAACTCACAGAGGTGAACAATCCTGTTGATGGAGCAGTTTTGAAACTCTCTTTCTTTGGATTCTGCAAGTGGATATGTGGAACTCTGTGAAGATTTCGTTGGAAACGGGTTCATCTTCACAGAAAAATTAACAGGAGCATTCTCAGAAACTGCTTTGTGATGTTTGTGTTCCACTTCAGGAATTGAACTTTCCTCTTGACAGAGCAGCTCTGCAACCCTCTTATTCTAGAATCTGCAAGTGGACATTTGGAGGGCTTTGAGGCCTGTGGTGGAAAAGGAAAATCTTCACATAAAAACTAGATGGAAGCATTCTCAGAAACTACTTTGTGATGATTGCATTCGACTCACAGAGTTGAACATTCCTATAGATAGAGCAGGTTGTAAACAATCTTTTTGTAGAATCTGCGATTGGAGATTTGGACTGCTTTGAGGCCTACTGTAGTAAAGGAAATAACTTCATCTAAAAACCAAACGGAAGCATTCACAGACAATTCTTAGTGATCATTGCATTGAACTAACAGAGCTGAACATTCCTTTAGATGGCGCAGTTTCCAAACACACTTTCTGTAGAATCTGCAAGTGGATATTTGGACTTCTCTGAGGATTTCGTTGGAAACGGGATAAACTTCCCAGAACTACACGGAAGCATTCTGAGAAACTTCTTTGTGATGTTTGCATTCAACTCACAAGAGTTGAACCTTGCTTTCATAGTTCAGCTTTCAAACACTCTTTTTGTAGAATCTGCAAGTGGATATTTGGACCACTTTGTGGCCTTCCTTTGAAACGGGTATATCTTCACATCAAACCTAGAGAGAAGCATTCTCAGAATGTTTCCTGTGATGACTGCATTCAACTCACAGAGGTGAACAATCCTGCTGATGGAGCAGTTTTGAAACTCTCTTTCTTTGGATTCTGCAAGTGGATATGTGGACCTCTGTGAAGATTTCGTTGGAAACGGGTTCATCTTCACAGAAAAACTAAACAGAAGCATTCTCAGAAACTGCTTTGTGATGTTTGTGTTCCACTTCAGGAATTGAACTTTCCTCTTGACAGAGCAGCTCTGAAACCCTCTTTTTCTAGAATCTGCAAGTGGACATTTGGAGGGCTTTGAGGCCTGTGGTGGAAAAGGAAAATCTTCACATAAAAACTAGATGGAAGCATTCTCAGAAACTACTTTGTGATGATTGCATTCGACTCACAGAGTTGAACATTCCTATAGATAGAGCAGGTTGTAAACAATCTTTTTGTAGAATCTGCGATTGGAGATTTGGACTGCTTTGAGGCCTACTGTAGTAAAGGAAATAACTTCATCTAAAAACCAAACGGAAGCATTCACAGACAATTCTTAGTGATCATTGCATTGAACTAACAGAGCTGAACATTGCTTTAGATGGCGCAGTTTCCAAACACACTTTCTGTAGAATCTGCAAGTGGATATTTGGACCTCTCTGAGGATTTCGTTGGAAACGGGATAAACTTCCCAGAACTACACGGAAGCATTCTGAGAAACTTCTTTGTGATGTTTGCATTCAACTCACAGAGGTGAACCTTGCTTTCATAGTTCAGCTTTCAAACACTCTTTTTGTAGAATCTGCAAGTGGATATTTGGACCACTTTGTGGCCTTCCTTCGAAACGGGTATATCTTCACATCAAACCTAGACAGAAGCATTCTCAGAATGTTTCCTGTGATGACTGCATTCAACTCACAGAGGTGAACAATCCTGCTGATGGAGCAGTTTTGAAACTCTCTTTCTTTGGATTCTGCAAGTGGATATGTGGACCTCTGTGAAGATTTCGTTGGAAACGGGTTCATCTTCACAGAAAAACTAAACAGGAGCATTCTCAGAAACTGCTTTGTGATGTTTGTGTTCCACTTCAAGAATTGAACTTTCCTCTTGACAGAGCAGCTCTGAAACCCTCTTTTTCTAGAATCTGCAAGTGGACATTTGGAGGGCTTTGAGGCCTGTGGTGGAAAAGGAAAATCTTCACATAAAAACTAGATGGAAGCATTCTCAGAAACTACTTTGTGATGATTGCATTCGACTCACAGAGTTGAACATTCCTATAGATAGAGCAGGTTGTAAACAATCTTTTTGTAGAATCTGCGATTGGAGATTTGGACTGCTTTGAGGCCTACTGTAGTAAAGGAAATAACTTCATCTGAAAACCAAACGGAAACATTCACAGACAATTCTTAGTGATCATTGGATTGAGCTAACAGAGCTGAACATTCCTTTAGATGGAGCAGTTTCCAAACACACTTTCTGCAGAATCTGCAAGTGGATATTTGGACTTCTCTGAGGATTTCGTTGGAAACGGGATAAACTTCCCAGAACTACACGGAAGCATTCTGAGAAACTTCTTTGTGATGTTTGCATTCAACTCACAGAGTTGAACCTTGCTTTCATAGTTCAGCTTTCAAACACTCTTTTTGTAGAATCTGCAAGTGGATATTTGGACCACTTTGTGGCCTTCCTTCGAAACGGGTATATCTTCACATCAAACCTAGACAGAAGAATTCTCAGAATGTTTCCTGTGATGACTGCATTCAACTCACAGAGGTGAAAAATCCTGTTGATGGAGCAGTTTTGAAACTCTCTTTCTTTGGATTCTGCAAGTGGATATGTGCACCTCTGTGAAGATTTCGTTGGAAACTGGTTCATCTTCACAGAAAAACTAAACAGCAGCATTCTTAGAAACTGCTTTGTGATGTTTGTGTTCCACTTCAGGAATTGAACTTTCCTCTTGACAGAGCAGCTCTGAAACCCTCTTTTTCTAGAATCTGCAAGTGGACATTTGGAGGGCTTTGAGGCCTGTGGTGGAAAAGGAAAATCTTCACATAAAAACTAGATGGAAGCATTCTCAGAAACTACTTTGTGATGATTGCATTCGACTCACAGAGTTGAACATTCCTATAGATAGAGCAGGTTGTAAACAATCTTTTTGTAGAATCTGCGATTGGAGATTTGGACTGCTTTGAGGCCTACTGTAGTAAAGGAAATAACTTCATCTAAAAAGCAAACGGAAAGCATTCACAGACAATTCTTAGTGATCATTGCATTGAACTAACAGAGCTGAACATTCCTTTAGATGGAGCAGTTTCCAAACCCACTTTCTGTAGAATCTGCAAGTGGATATTTGGACTTCTCTGAGGATTTCGTTGGAAACGGGATAAACTTCCCAGAACTACACGGGAAGCATTCTGAGAAACTTCTTTGTGATGTTTGCATTCAACTCACAGAGTTGAACCTTGCTTTCATAGTTCAGCTTTCAAACACTCTTTTTGTAGAATCTGCAAGTGGATATTTGGACCACTTTGTGGCCTTCCTTCGAAACGGGTATATCTTCACATCAAACCTAGACAGAAGCATTCTCAGAATGTTTCCAGTGATGACTGCATTCAACTCACAGAGGTGAACAATCCTGCTGATGGAGCAGTTTTGAAACTCTCTTTCTTTGGATTCTGCAAGTGGATATGTGGACCTCTGTGAAGATTTCGTTGGAAACGGGTTCATCTTCACAGAAAAACAAAACAGGAGCATTCTCAGAAACTGCTTTGTGATGTTTGTGTTCCACTTCAGGAATTGAACTTTCCTCTTGACAGAGCAGCTCTAAAACCCTCTTATTCTAGAATCTGCAAGTGGACATTTGGAGGGCTTTGAGGCCTGTGGTGGAAAAGGAAAATCTTCACATAAAAACTAGATGGAAGCATTCTCAGAAACTACTTTGTGATGATTGCATTCGACTCACAGAGTTGAACATTCCTATAGATAGAGCAGGTTGTAAACAATCTTTTTGTAGAATCTGCGATTGGAGATTTGTTCTGCTTTGAGGCCTACTGTAGTAAAGGAAATAACTTCATCTAAAAACCAAACGGAAGCATTCACAGACAATTCTTAGTGATCATTGGATTGAACTAACAGAGCTGAACATTCCTTTAGATGGAGCAGTTTCCAAACACACTTTCTGTAGAATCTGCAAGTGGATATTTGGACTTCTCTGAGGATGTCGTTGGAAACGGGATATACTTCCCAGAACTACACGGAAGCATTCTGAGAAACTTCTTTGTGATGTTTGCATTCAACTCACAGAGTTGAACCTTGATTTCATAGTTCAGCTTTCAAACCCTCTTTTTGTAGAATCTGCAAGTGGATATTTGAACCACTTTGTGGCCTTCCTTCGAAACGGGTATATCTTCACATCAAACCTAGACAGAAGCATTCTCAGAATGTTTCCTGTGATGACTGCATTCAACTCACAGAGGTGAACAATCCTGCTGATGGAGCAGTTTTGAAACTCTCTTTCTTTGGATTCTGCAAGTGGATATGTGGACCTCTGTGAAGATTTCGTTGGAAACGGGTTCATCTTCACAGAAAAACTAAACAGAAGCATTCTCAGAAACTGCTTTGTGATGTTTGTGTTCCACTTCAGGAATTGAACTTTCCTCTTGACAGAATTCTAGAATCTGCAAGTGGACATTTGGAGGGCTTTGAGGCCTGTGGTGGAAAAGGAAAATCTTCACATAAAAACTAGATGGAAGCATTCTCAGAAACTACTTTGTGATGATTGCATTCGACTCACAGAGTTGAACATTCCTATAGATAGAGCAGGTTGTAAACAATCTTTTTGTAGAATCTGCGATTGGAGATTTGGACTGCTTTGAGGCCTACTGTAGTAAAGGAAATAACTTCATCTAAAAACCAAACGGAAGCATTCACAGACAATTCTTAGTGATCATTGCATTGAACTAACAGAGCTGAACATTCCTTTAGATGGCGCAGTTTCCAAACACACTTTCTGTAGAATCTGCAAGTGGATATTTGGACTTCTCTGAGGATTTCGTTGGAAACGGGATAAACTTCCCAGAACTACACGGAAGCATTGTGAGAAACTTCTTTGTGATGTTTGCATTCAACTCACAGAGTTGAACCTTGCTTTCATAGTTCAGCTTTCAAACACTCTTTTTGTAGAATCTGCAAGTGGATATTTGGACCACTTTGTGGCCTTCCTTTGAAACGGGTATATCTTCACATCAAACCTAGACAGAAGCATTCTCAGAATGTTTCCTGTGATGACTGCATTCAACTCACAGAGGTGAACAATCCTGCTGATGGAGCAGTTTTGAAACTCTCTTTCTTTGGATTCTGCAAGTGGATATGTGGACCTGTGTGAAGATTTCGTTGGAAACGGGTTCATCTTCACAGAAAAACTAAACAGAAGCATTCTCAGAAACTGCTTTGTGATGTTTGTGTTCCACTTCAGGAATTGAACTTTCCTCTTGACAGAGCAGCTCTGAAACCCTCTTATTCTAGAATCTGCAAGTGGACATTTGGAGGGCTTTGAGGCCTGTGGTGGAAAAGGAAAATCTTCACATAAAAACTAGATGGAAGCATTCTCAGAAACTACTTTGTGATGATTGCATTCGACTCACAGAGTTGAACATTCCTATAGATAGAGCAGGTTGTAAACAATGTTTTTGTAGAATCTGCGATTGGAGATTTGGACTGCTTTGAGGCCTACTGTAGTAAAGGAAATAACTTCATCTAAAAACCAAACGGAAGCATTCACAGACAATTCTTAGTGATCATTGGATTGAACTAACAGAGCTGAACATTCCTTTAGATGGAGCAGTTTCCAAACACACTTTCTGTAGAATCTGCAAGTGGATATTTGGACTTGCTCTGAGGATTTCGTTGGAAACGGGATAAACTTCCCAGAACTACACGGAAGCATTGTGAGAAACTTCTTTGGATGTTTGCATTCAACTCACAGAGTTGAACCTTGCTTTCATAGTTCAGCTTTCAAACACTCTTTTTGTAGAATCTGCAAGTGGATATTGGGACCACTTTGTGGCCTTCCTTCGAAACGGGTATATCTTCACATCAAACCTAGACAGAAGCATTCTCAGAATGTTTCCTGTGATGACTGCATTCAACTTACAGAGGTGAACAATCCTGCTGATGGAGCAGTGTTGAAACTCTCTTTCTTTGGATTCTCCAAGTGGATATTTGGACCTCTGTGAAGATTTCGTTGGAAACGGGTTCATCTTCACAGAAAAACTAAACAGGAGCATTCTCAGAAACTGCTTTGTGATGTTTGTGTTCCACTTCAGGAATTGAACTTTCCTCTTGAAAGAGCAGCTCTGAAACCCTCTTATTCTAGAATCTGCAAGTGGACATTTGGAGGGCTTTGAGGCCTGTGGTGGAAAAGGAAAATCTTCACATAAAAACTAGATGGAAGCATTCTCAGAAACTACTTTGTGATGATTGCATTCGACTCACAGAGTTGAACATTCCTATAGATAGAGCAGGTTGTAAACAATCTTTTTGTAGAATCTGCGATTGGAGATTTGGACTGCTTTGAGGCCTACTGTAGTAAAGGAAATAACTTCATCTAAAAACCAAACGGAAGCATTCACAGACAATTCTTAGTGATCATTGGATTGAACTAACAGAGCTGAACATTCCTTTAGATGGAGCAGTTTCCAAACACACTTTCTGTAGAATCTTCAAGTGGATATTTGGACCTCTCTGAGGATTTCGTTGGAAACGGGATAAACTTCCCAGAACTACACGGAAGCATTGTGAGAAACTTCTTTGTGATGTTTGCATTCAACTCACAGAAGTTGAACCTTGCTTTCATAGTTCAGCTTTCAAACACTCCTTTTGTAGAATCTGCAAGTGGATATTTGGACCACTTTTTGGCCTTCCTTCGAAACGGGTATATCTTCACATCAAACCTAGACAGAAGCATTCTCAGAATGTTTCCTGTGATGACTGCATTCAACTCACAGAGGTGAACAATCCTGCTGATGGAGCAGTTTTGAAACTCTCTTTCTTTGGATTCTGCAAGTGGATATGTGGACCTCTGTGTAGATTTCGTTGGAAACGGGTTCATCTTCACAGAAAAACTAAACAGAAGCATTCTCAGAAACTGCTTTGTGATGTTTGTGTTCCACTTCAAGAATTGAACTTTCCTCTTGACAGAGCAGCTCTGAAACCCTCTTTTTCTAGAATCTGCAAGTGGACATTTGGAGGGCTTTGAGGCCTGTGGTGGAAAAGGAAAATCTTCCCATAAAAACTAGATGGAAGCATTCTCAGAAACTACTTTGTGATGATTGCATTCGACTCACAGAGTTGAACATTCCTATAGATAGAGCAGGTTGTAAACAATCTTTTTGTAGAATCTGCGATTGGAGATTTGGACTGCTTTGAGGCCTACTGTAGTAAAGGAAATAACTTCATCTAAAAACCAAACGGAAGCATTCACAGACAATTCTTAGTGATCATTGGATTGAACTAACAGAGCTGAACATTCCTTTAGATGGAGCAGTTTCCAAACACACTTTCTGTAGAATCTGCAAGTGGATATTTGGACCTCTCTGAGGATTTCGTTGGAAACGGGATAAACTTCCCAGAACTACACGGAAGCATTGTGAGAAACTTCTTTGTGATGTTTGCATTCAACTCACAGAGTTGAACCTTGCTTTCATAGTTCAGCTTTCAAACACTCTTTTTGTAGAATCTGCAAGTGGATATTTGGACCACTTTGTGGCCTTCCTTCGAAACGGGTATATCTTCACATCAAACCTAGACAGAAGCATTCTCGGAATGTTTCCTGTGATGACTGCATTCAACTCACAGAGGTGAACAATCCTGCTGATGGAGCAGTTTTGAAACTCTCTTTCTTTGGATTCTGCAGGTGGATATGTGGACCTCTGTGAAGATTTCGTTGGAAACGGGTTCATCTTCACAGAAAAACTAAACAGGAACATTCTCAGAAACTGCTTTGTGATGTTTGTGTTCCACTTCAAGAATTGAACTTTCCTCTTGACAGAGCAGCTCTGAAACCCTCTTTTTCTAGAATCTGCAAGTGGACATTTGGAGGGCTTTGAGGCCTGTGGTGGAAAAGGAAAATCTTCACATAAAAACTAGATGGAAGCATTCTCAGAAACTACATTGTGATGATTGCATTCGACTCACAGAGTTGAACATTCCTATAGATAGAGCAGGTTGTAAACAATCTTTTTGTATAATCTGCGATTGGAGATTTGGACTGCTTTGAGGCCTACTGTAGTAAAGGAAATAAATTCATCTAAAAACCAAACGGAAGCATTCACAGACAATTCTTAGTGATCATTGCATTGAACTATCAGAGCTGAACATTCCCTTTAGATGGAGCAGTTTCCAAACACACTTTCTGTAGAATCTGCAAGTGGATATTTGGACTTCTCTGAGGATTTCGTTGGAAACGGGATAAACTTCCCAGAACTACACGGAAGCATTCTGAGAAACTTCTTTGTGATGTTTGCATTCAACTCACAGAGTTGAACCTTGCTTTCATAGTTCAGCTTTCAAACACTCTTTTTGTAGAATCTGCAAGTGGATATTTGGACCACTTTGTGGCCTTCCTTCGAAACGGGTATATCTTCACATCAAACCTAGACAGAAGCATTCTCAGAATGTTTCCTGTGGATGACTGCATTCAACTCACAGAGGTGAACAATCCTGCTGATGGAGCAGTTTTGAAACTCCCTTTCTTTGGATTCTGCAAGTGGATATGTGGACCTCTGTGAAGATTTCGTTGGAAACGGGTTCATCTTCACAGAAAAACTAAACAGGAGCATTCTCAGAAACTGCTTTGTGATGTTTGTGTTCCACTTCAAGAATTGAACTTTCCTCTTGACAGAGCAGCTCTGAAACCCTCTTATTCTAGAATCTGCAAGTGGACATTTGGAGGGCTTTGAGGCCTGTGGTGGAAAAGGAAAATCTTCACATACAAACTAGATGGAAGCATTCTCAGAAACTACTTTGTGATGATTGCATTCGACTCACAGAGTTAAACATTCCTATAGATAGAGCAGGTTGTAAACAATCTTTTTGTAGAATCTGCGATTGGAGATTTGGACTGCTTTGAGGCCTACTGTAGTAAAGGAAATAACTTCATCTAAAAACCAAACGGAAGCATTCACAGACAATTCTTAGTGATCATTGCATTGAACTAACAGAGCTGAACATTCCTTTAGATGGAGCAGTTTCCAAACACACTTTCTGTAGAATCTGCAAGTGGATATTTGGACTTCTCTGAGGATTTCGTTGGAAACGGGATAAACTTCCCAGAACTACACGGAAGCATTGTGAGAAACTTCTTTGTGATGTTTGCATTCAACTCACAGAGTTGAACCTTGCTTTCATAGTTCAGCTTTCAAACACTCTTTTTGTAGAATCTGCAAGTGGATATTTGGACCACTTTGTGGCCTTCCTTCGAAACGGGTATATCTTCACATCAAACCTAGACAGAAGCATTCTCAGAATGTTTCCTGTGATGACTGCATTCAACTCACAGAGGTGAACAATCCTGCTGATGGAGCAGTTTTGAAACTCTCTTTCTTTGGATTCTGCAAGTGGATATGTGGACCTCTGTGAAGATTTCGTTGGAAACGGGTTCATCTTCACAGAAAAACTAAAGAGAAGCATTCTCAGAAACTGCTTTGTGATGTTTGTGTTCCACTTCAAGAATTGAACTTTCCTCTTGACAGAGCAGCTCTGAAACCCTCTTTTTCTAGAATCTGCAAGTGGACATTTGGAGGGCTTTGAGGCCTGTGGTGGAAAAGGAAAATCTTCCCATAAAAACTAGATGGAAGCATTCTCAGAAACTACTTTGTGATGATTGCATTCGACTCACAGAGTTGAACATTCCTATAGATAGAGCAGGTTGTAAACAATCTTTTTGTAGAATCTGCGATTGGAGATTTGGACTGCTTTGAGGCCTACTGTAGTAAAGGAAATAACTTCATCTAAAAACCAAACGGAAGCATTCACAGACAATTCTTAGTGATCATTGCATTGAACTAACAGAGCTGAACATTCCTTTAGATGGCGCAGTTTCCAAACACACTTTCTGTAGAATCTGCAAGTGGATATTTGGACCTCTCTGAGGATTTCGTTGGAAACGGGATAAACTTCCCAGAACTACACGGAAGCATTGTGAGAAACTTCTTTGTGATGTTTGCATTCAACTCACAGAGTTGAACCTTGCTTTCATAGTTCAGCTTTCAAACACTCCTTTTGTAGAATCTACAAGTGGATATTTGGACCACTTTGTGGCCTTCCTTCGAAACGGGTATATCTTCACATCAAACCTAGACAGAAGCATTCTCAGAATGTTTCCTGTGATGACTGCATTCAACTCACAGAGATGAACAATCCTGCTGATGGAGCAGTTTTGAAACTCTCTTTCTTTGGATTCTGCAAGTGGATATGTGGACCTCTGTGAAGATTTCGTTGGAAACGGGTTCATCTTCACAGAAAAACTAAACAGAAGCATTCTCAGAAACTGCTTTGTGATGTTTGTGTTCCACTTCAAGAATTGAACTTTCCTCTTGACAGAGCAGCTCTGAAACCCTCTTTTTCTAGAATCTGCAAGTGGACATTTGGAGGGCTTTGAGGCCTGTGGTGGAAAAGGAAAATCTTCACATAAAAACTAGATGGAAGCATTCTCAGAAACTACTTTGTGATGATTGCATTCGACTCACAGAGTTGAACATTCCTATAGATAGAGCAGGTTGTAAACAATCTTTTTGTAGAATCTGCGATTGGAGATTTGGACTGCTTTGAGGCCTACTGTAGTAAAGGAAATAACTTCATCTAAAAACCAAACGGAAGCATTCACAGACAATTCTTAGTGATCATTGGATTGAACTAACAGAGCTGAACATTCCTTTAGATGGAGCAGTTTCCAAACCCACTTTCTGTAGAATCTGCAAGTGGATATTTGGACCTCTCTGAGGATTTCGTTGGAAACGGGATAAACTTCCCAGAACTACAGGGAAGCATTGTGAGAAACTTCTTTGTGATGTTTGCATTCAACTCACAGAGTTGAACCTTGCTTTCATAGTTCAGCTTTCAAACACTCTTTTTGTAGAATCTGCAAGTGGATATTTGGACCACTTTGTGGCCTTCCTTCGAAACGGGTATATCTTCACATCAAACCTAGACAGAAGCACTCTCAGAATGTTTCCTGTGATGACTGCATTCAACTCACAGAGGTGAACAATCCTGTTGATGGAGCAGTTTTGAAACTCTCTTTCTTTGGATTCTGCAAGTGGATATGTGGACCTCTGTGAAGATTTCGTTGGAAACGGGTTCATCTTCACAGAAAAACTAAACAGGAGCATTCTCAGAAACTGCTTTGTGATGTTTGTGTTCCACTTAAAGAATTGAACTTTCCTCTTGACAGAGCAGCTCTGAAACCCTCTTTTTCTAGAATCTGCAAGTGGACATTTGGAGGGCTTTGAGGCCTGTGGTGGAAAAGGAAAATCTTCACATAAAAACTTTATGGAAGCATTCTCAGAAACTACTTTGTGATGATTGCATTCGACTCACAGAGTTGAACATTCCTATAGATAGAGCAGGTTGTAAACAATCTTTTTGTAGAATCTGCGATTGGAGATTTGGACTGCTTTGAGGCCTACTGTAGTAAAGGAAATAACTTCATCTAAAAACCAAACGGAAGCATTCACAGACAATTCTTAGTGATCATTGGATTGAACTAACAGAGCTGAACATTCCCTTAGATGGCGCAGTTTCCAAACACACTTTCTGTAGAATCTGCAAGTGGATATTTGGACCTCTCTGAGGATTTCGTTGGAAACGGGATAAACTTCCCAGAACTACACGGAAGCATTCTGAGAAACTTCTTTGTGATGTTTGCATTCAACTCACAGAGTTGAACCTTGCTTTCATAGTTCAGCTTTCAAACACTCTTTTTGTAGAATCTGCAAGTGGATATTTGGACCACTTTGTGGCCTTCCTTCGAAACGGGTATATCTTCACATCAAACCTAGACAGAAGCATTCTCAGAATGTTTCCTGTGATGACTGCATTCAACTCACAGAGGTGAACAATCCTGCTGATGGAGCAGTTTTGAAACTCTCTTTCTTTGGATTCTGCAAGTGGATATGTCGACCTCTGTGAAGATTTCGTTGGAAACGGGTTCATCTTCACAGAAAAACTAAACAGAAGCATTCTCAGAAACTGCTTTGTGATGTTTGTGTTCCACTTCAAGAATTGAACTTTCCTCTTGACAGAGCAGCTCTGAAACCCTCTTTTTCTAGAATCTGCAAGTGGACATTTGGAGGGCTTTGAGGCCTGTGGTGGAAAAGGAAAATCTTCACATAAAAACTAGATGGAAGCATTCTCAGAAACTACTTTGTGATGATTGCATTCGACTCACAGAGTTGAACATTCCTATAGATAGAGCAGGTTGTAAACAATCTTTTTGTAGAATCTGCGATTGGAGATTTGGACTGCTTTGAGGCCTACTGTAGTAAAGGAAATAACTTCATCTAAAAACCAAACGGAAGCATTCACAGACAATTCTTAGTGATCATTGCATTGAACTAACAGAGCTGAACATTCCTTTAGATGGAGCAGTTTCCAAACCCACTTTCTGTAGAATCTGCAAGTGGATATTTGGACTTCTCTGAGGATTTCGTTGGAAACGGGATATACTTCCCAGAACTACACGGAAGCATTCTGAGAAACTTCTTTGTGATGTTTGCATTCAACTCACAGAGTTGAACCTTGCTTTCATAGTTCAGCTTTCAAACACTCTTTTTGTAGAATCTGCAAGTGGATATTTGGACCACTTTCTGGCCTTCCTTCGAAACGGGTATATCTTCACATCAAACCTAGACAGAAGCATTCTCAGAATGTTTCCTCTGATGACTGCATTCAACCCACAGAGGTGAACAATCCTGCTGATGGAGCAGTTTTGAAACTCTCTTTCTTTGGATTCTGCAAGTGGATATGTGGACCTCTGTGAAGATTTCGTTGGAAACGTGTTCATCTTCACAGAAAAACTAAACAGGAACATTCTCAGAAACTGCTTTGTGATGTTTGTGTTCCACTTCAGGAATTGAACTTTCCTCTTGACAGAGCAGCTCTGAAACCCTCTTTTTCTAGAATCTGCAAGTGGACATTTGGAGGGCTTTGAGGCCTGTGGTGGAAAAGGAAAATCTTCACATAAAAACTAGATGGAAGCATTCTCAGAAACTACTTTGTGATGATTGCATTCGACTCACAGAGTTGAACATTCCTATAGATAGAGCAGGTTGAAAACAATCTTTTTGTAGAATCTGCGATTGGAGATTTTGACTGCTTTGAGGCCTACTGTAGTAAAGGAAATAACTTCATCTAAAAACCAAACGGAAGCATTCACAGACAATTCTTAGTGATCATTGCATTGAACTAACAGAGCTGAACATTCCTTTAGATGGCGCAGTTTCCAAACACACTTTCTGTAGAATCTGCAAGTGGATATTTGGACCTCTCTGAGGATTTCGTTGGAAACGGGATAAACTTCCCAGAACTACACGGAAGCATTGTGCGAAACTTCTTTGTGATGTTTGCATTCAACTCACAGAGTTGAACCTTGCTTTCATAGTTCAGCTTTCAAACACTCTTTTTTTAGAATCTGCAAGTGGATATTTGGACCACTTTGTGGCCTTCCTTCGAAACGGGTATATCTTCACATCAAACCTAGACAGAAGCATTCTCAGAATGTTTCCTGTGATGACTGCATTCAACTCACAGAGGTGAACAATCCTGCTGATGGAGCAGTTTTGAAACTCTCTTTCTTTGGATTCTGCAAGTGGATATGTGGACCTCTGTGAAGATTTCGTTGGAAAGGGGTTCATCTTCACAGAAAAACTAAACAGGAGCATTCTCAGAAACTGCTTTGTGATGTTTGTGTTCCACTTAAAGAATTGAACTTTGCTCTTGACAGAGCAGCTCTGAAACCCTCTTTTTCTAGAATATGCAAGTGGACATTTGGAGGGCTTTGAGGCCTGTGGTGGAAAAGGAAAATCTTCACATAAAAACTAGATGGAAGCATTCTCAGAAACTACTTTGTGATGATTGCATTCGACTCACAGAGTTGAACATTCCTATAGATAGAGCAGGTTGTAAACAATCTTTTGTAGAATCTGCGATTGGAGATTTGGACTGCTTTGAGGCCTACTGTAGTAAAGGAAATAACTTCATCTAAAAACCAAACGGAAGCATTCACAGACAATTCTTAGTGATCATTGGATTGAACTAACAGAGCTGAACATTCCTTTAGATGGCGCAGTTTCCAAACACACTTTCTGTAGAATCTGCCACTGGATATTTGGACCTCTCTGAGGATTTCGTTGGAAACGGGCTAAACTTCCCAGAACTACACGGAAGCATTGTGAGAAACTTCTTTGTGATGTTTGCATTCAACTCACAGAGTTGAACCTTGCTTTCATAGTTCAGCTTTCAAACACTCTTTTTGTAGAATCTGCAAGTGGATATTTGGACCACTTTGTGGCCTTCCTTTGAAACGGGTATATCTTCACATCAAACCTAGACAGAAGCATTCTCAGAATGTTTCCTCTGATGACTGCATTCAACTCACAGAGGTGAACAATCCTGCTGATGGAGCAGTTTTGAAACTCTCTTTCTTTGGATTCTGCAAGTGGATATGTGGACCTCTGTGAAGATTTCGTTGGAAACGTGTTCATCTTCACAGAAAAACTAAACAGGAGCATTCTCAGAAACTGCTTTGTGATGTTTGTGTTCCACTTCAAGAATTGAACTTTCCTCTTGACAGAGCAGCTCTGAAACCCTCTTTTTCTAGAATCTGCAAGTGGACATTTGGAGGGCTTTGAGGCCTGTGGTGGAAAAGGAAAATCTTCACATAAAAACTAGATGGAAGCATTCTCAGAAACTACTTTGTGATGATGGCTTTCGACTCACAGAGTTGAACATTCCTATAGATAGAGCAGGTTGTAAACAATCTTTTTGTAGAATCTGCGATTGGAGATTTGGACTGCTTTGAGGCCTACTGTAGTAAAGGAAATAACTTCATCTAAAAACCAAACGGAAGCATTCACAGACAATTCTTAGTGATCATTGGATTGAACTAACAGAGCTGAACATTCCTTTAGATGGAGCAGTTTCCAAACCCACTTTCTGTAGAATCTGCAAGTGGATATTTGGACTTCTCTGAGGATTTCGTTGGAAACGGGATAAACTTCCCAGAACTACACGGAAGCATTGTGAGAAACTTCTTTGTGATGTTTGCATTCAACTCACAGAGTTGAACCTTGCTTTCATAGTTCAGCTTTCAAACACTCTTTTTGTAGAATCTGCAAGTGGATATTTGGACCACTTTGTGGCCTTCCTTCGAAACGGGTATATCTTCACATCAAACCTAGACAGAAGCATTCTCAGAATGTTTCCTGTGATGACTGCATTCAACTCACAGAGGTGAACAATCCTGTTGATGGAGCAGTTTCGAAACTCTCTTTCTTTGTAATCTGCAAGTGGATATGTGGACCTCTTTGAAGTTTTCGTTGGAAACGGGTTCATCTTCACATAAAAACTAAACAGAAGCATTCTCAGAAACTGCTTTGTGATGTTTGTGTTCCACTTCAGGAATTGAACTTTCCTCTTGACAGAGCAGCTCTGAAACCCTCTTATTCTAGTTCTGCAAGTGGACATTTGGAGGGCTTTGAGGCCTGTGGTGGAAAAGGAAAATCTTCACATAAAAACTAGATGGAAGCATTCTCAGAAACTCCTTTGTGATGATTGCATTCGACTCACAGAGTTGAACATTCCTATAGATAGAGCAGGTTGTAAACAATCTTTTTGTAGAATCTGCGATTGGAGATTTGGACTGCTTTGAGGCCTACTGTAGTAAAGGAAATAACTTCATCTAAAAACCAAACGGAAGCATTCACAGACAATTCTTAGTGATCATTGGATTGAACTAACAGAGCTGAAAATTCCGTTAGATGGTGCAGTTTCCAAACACACTTTCTGTAGAATCTGCAAGTGGATATTTGGACCTCTCTGAGGATTTCGTTGGAAACGGGATAAACTTCCCAGAACTACACGGAAGCATTCTGAGAAACTTCTTTGTGATGTTTGCATTCAACTCACAGAGTTGAACCTTGCTTTCATAGTTCAGCTTTCACACACTCTTTTTGTAGAATCTGCAAGTGGATATTTGGACCACTTTGTGGCCTTCCTTCGAAACGGGTATATCTTCACATGAAACCTAGACAGAAGCATTCTCAGAATGTTTCCTGTGATGACTGCATTCAACTCACAGAGGTGAACCATCCTGTTGATGGAGCAGTTTTGAAACTCTCTTTCTTTGGATTCTGCAAGTGGATATGTGGACCTCTGTGAAGATTTCGTTGGAAACGGGTTCATCTTCACAGAAAAACTAAACAGGAGCATTCTCAGAAACTGCTTTGTGATGTTTGTGTTCCACTTCAAGAATTGAACTTTCCTCTTGACAGAGCAGCTCTGAAACCCTCTTCTTCTAGAATCTGCAAGTGGACATTTGGAGGGCTTTGATGCCTGTGGTGGAAAAGGAAAATCTTCACATAAAAAATAGATGGAAGCATTCTCAGAAACTACTTTGTGATGATTGCATTCGACTCACATAGTTGAACATTCCTATAGATAGAGCAGGTTGTAAACAATCTTTTTGTAGAATCTGCGATTGGAGATTTGGACTGCTTTGAGGCCTACTGTAGTAAAGGAAATAACTTCATCTAAAAACCAAACGGAAGCATTCACAGACAATTCTTAGTGATCATTGCATTGAACTAACAGAGCTGAACATTCCTTTAGATGGAGAAGTTTCCAAACACACTTTCTGTAGAATCTGCAAGTGGATATTTGGACTTCTCTGAGGATTTCGTTGGAAACGGGATAAACTTCCCAGAACTACACGGAAGCATTGTGAGAAACTTCTTTGTGATGTTTGCATTCAACTCACAGAGTTGAACCTTGTTTTCATAGTTCAGCTTTCAAACACTCTTTTTGTAGAATCTGCAAGTGGATATTTGGACCACTTTGTGGCCTTCCTTCGAAACGGGTATATCTTCACATCAAACCTAGACAGAAGCATTCTCAGAATGTTTCCTGTGATGATTGCATTCAACTCACAGAGGTGAACAATCCTGTTGATGGAGCAGTTTTGAAACTCTCTTTCTTTGGATTCTGCAAGTGGATATGTGGACCTCTGTAAAGATTTCGTTGGAAACGGGTTCATCTTCACAGAAAAACTAAACAGAAGCATTCTCAGAAACTGCATTGTGATGTTTGTGTTCCACTTCAGGAATTGAACTTTCCTCTTGACAGAGCAGCTCTGAAACCCTCTTTTTCTAGAATCTGCAAGTGGACATTTGTAGGGCTTTGAGGCCTGTGGTGGAAAAGGAAAATCTTCACATAAAAACTAGATGGAAGCATTCTCAGAAACTACTTTGTGATGATTGCATTCGACTCACAGAGTTGAACATTCCTATACATAGAGCAGGTTGTAAACAATCTTTTTGTAGAATCTGCGATTGGAGATTTGGACTGCTTTGAGGCCTACTGTAGTAAAGGAAATAACTTCATCTAAAAACCTAACGGAAACATTCACAGACAATTCTTAGTGATCATTGGATTGAACTAACAGAGCTGAACATTCCTTTAGATGGAGCAGTTTCCAAACACACTTTCTGTAGAATCTGCAAGTGGATATTTGGACTTCTCTGAGGATTTCGTTGGAAACGGGATAAACTTCCCAGAACTACACGGAAGCATTGTGAGAAACTTCTTTGTGATGTTTGCATTCAACTCACAGAGTTGAACCTTGCTTTCATAGTTCAGCTTTCAAACACTCTTTTTGTAGAATCTGCAAGTGGATATTTGGACCACTTTGTGGCCTTCCTTCGAAACGGGTATATCTTCACATCAAACCTAGACAGAAGCATTCTCAGAATGCTTCCTGTGATGACTGCATTCAACTCACAGAGGTGAACAATCCTGCTGATGGAGCAGTTTTGAAACTCTCTTTCTTTGGATTCTGCAAGTGGATATGTGGACCTCTGTGAAGATTTCGTTGGAAACGGGTTCATCTTCACAGAAAAACTAAACAGAAGCATTCTCAGAAACTGCTTTGTGATGTTTGTGTTCCACTTCAGGAATTGAACTTTCCTCTTGAAAGAGCAGCTCTGAAACCCTCTTTTTCTAGAATCTGCAAGTGGACATTTGGAGGGCTTTGAGGCCTGTGGTGCAAAAGGAAAATCTTCACATAAAAACTAGATGGAAGCATTCTCAGAAACTACTTTGTGATGATTGCATTCGACTCACAGAGTTGAACATTCCTATAGATAGAGCAGGTTGTAAACAATCTTTTTGTAGAATCTGCGATTGGAGATTTGGACTGCTTTGAGGCCTACTGTAGTAAAGGAAATAACTTCATCTAAAAACCAAACGGAAGCATTCACAGAAAATTCTTAGTGATCATTGGATTGAACTAACAGAGCTGAACATTCCTTTAGATGGCACAGTTTCCAAACACACTTTCTGTAGAATCTGCAAGTGGATATTTGGACCTCTCTGAGGATTTCGTTGGAAACGGGATAAACTTCCCAGAACTACATGGAAGCATTCTGAGAAACTTCTTTGTGATGTTTGCATTCAACTCACAGAGTTGAACCTTGCTTTCATAGTTCAGCTTTCAAACACTCTTTTTGTAGACTCTGCAAGTGGATATTTGGACCACTTTGTGGCCTTCCTTCGAAACGGGTATATCTTCACATGAAACCTAGACAGAAGCATTCTCAGAATGTTTCCTGTGAAGACTGCATTCAACGCACAGAGGTGAACAATCCTGTTGATGGAGCAGTTTTGAATCTCTCTTTCTCTGGAATCTGAAAGTGGATATGTGGACCTCTTTGAAGATTTCGTTGGAAAAGGGTTCATCTTCAAAGAAAAACTAAACAGAAGCATTCTCAGAAACTGCTTTGTGATGTTTGTGTTCCACTTCAGGAATTCAACTTTCCTCTTGACAGAGCAGCTCTGAAACCCTCTTATTCTAGAATCTGCAAGTGGACATTTGGAGGGCTTTGAGGCCTGTGCTGGAAAAGGAAAATCTTCACATAATAACTAGATGGAAGCATTCTCAGAAACTACTTTGTGATGATTGCATTCGACTCACAGAGTTGAACATTCCTATAGATAGAGCAGGTTGTAAACAATCTTTTTGTAGAATCTGCGATTGGAGATTTGGACTGCTTTGAGGCCTACTGTAGTAAAGGAAATAACTTCATCTAAAAACCAAACGGAAGCATTCACAGACAATTCTTAGTGATCATTGGATTGAACTAACAGAGCTGAACATTCCTTTAGATGGAGCAGTTTCCAAACACACTTTCTGTAGAATCTGCAAGTGGATATTTGGACTTCTCTGAGGATTTCGTTGGAAACGGGATAAACTTCCCAGAACTACCAGGGAAGCATTGTGAGAAACTTCTTTGTGATGTTTGCATTCAACTCACAGAGTTGAACCTTGCTTTCATAGTTCAGCTTTCAAACACTCTTTTTGTAGAATCTGCAAGTGGATATTTGGACCACTTTGTGGCCTTCCTTCGAAACGGGTATATCTTCACATCAAACCTAGACAGAAGCATTCTCAGAATGTTTCCTGTGATGACTGCATTCAACTCACAGAGGTGAACAATCCTGCTGATGGAGCAGTTTTGAAACTCTCTTTCTTTGGATTCTGCAAGTGGATATGTGGACCTCTGTGAAGATTTCGTTGGAAACGGGTTCTCTTCATAGAAAAACTAAACAGGACCATTCTCAGAAACTGTTTTGTGATGTTTGTGTTCCACTTCAAGAATTCAACTTTCCTCTTGACAGAGCAGCTCTGAAACCCTCTTTTTCTAGAATCTGCAAGTGGACATTTGGAGGGCTTTGAGGCCTGTGGTGGAAAAGGAAAATCTTCACATAAAAACTAGATGGAAGCATTCTCAGAAACTACTTTGTGATGATTACATTCGACTCACAGAGTTGAACATTCCTATAGATAGAGCAGGTTGTAAACAATGTTTTTGTAGAATCTGCGATTGGAGATTTGGACTGCTTTGAGGCCTACTGTAGTAAAGGAAATAACTTCATCTAAAAACCAAACGGAAGCATTCACAGACAATTCTTAGTGATCATTGGATTGAACTAACAGAGCTGAACATTCCTTTAGATGGAGCAGTTTCCAAACACACTTTCTGTAGAATCTGCAAGTGGATATTTGGACTTCTCTGAGGATTTCGTTGGAAAGGGGATAAACTTCCCAGAACTACACGGAAGCATTGTGAGAAACTTCTTTGTGATGTTTGCATTCAACTCACAGAGTTGAACCTTGCTTTCATAGGTCAGCTTTCAAACACTCTTTTTGTAGAATCTGCAAGTGGATATTTGGACCACTTTGTGGCCTTCCTTCGAAACGGGTATATCTTCACATCAAACCTAGACAGAAGCATTCTCAGAATGTTTCCTGTGATGACTGCATTCAACTCACAGAGGTGAACAATCCTGCTGATGGAGCAGTTT
This sequence comes from Homo sapiens, assembly GCF_000001405.40. Taxonomy (NCBI): domain Eukaryota; kingdom Metazoa; phylum Chordata; class Mammalia; order Primates; family Hominidae; genus Homo; species Homo sapiens. The sequence goes on from NC_000011.10 coordinate 52,818,844, forward strand.
TGAAACTCTCTTTCTTTGGATTCTGCAAGTGGATATGTGGACCTCTGTGAAGATTTCGTTGGAAACGGGTTCATCTTCACAGAAAAACTAAACAGAAGCATTCTCAGAAACTGCTTTGTGATGTTTGTGTTCCACTTCAGGAATTGAACTTTCCTCTTGACTGAGCAGCTCTGAAACCCTCTTTTTCTAGAATCTGCAAGTGGACATTTGGAGGGCTTTGAGGCCTGTGGTGGAAAAGGAAAATCTTCACATAAAAACTAGATGGAAGCATTCTCAGAAACTACTTTGTGATGATTGCATTCGACTCACAGAGTTGAACATTCCTATAGATAGAGCAGGTTGTAAACAATCTTTTTGTAGAATCTGCGATTGGAGATTTGGACTGCTTTGAGGCCTACTGTAGTAAAGGAAATAACTTCATCTAAAAACCAAACGGAAGCATTCACAGACAATTTTTAGTGATTATTGGATTGAACTAACAGAGCTGAACATTCCTTTAGATGGAGCAGTTTCCAAACCCACTTTCTGTAGAATCTGCAAGGGGATATTTGGACTTCTCTGAGGATTTCGTTGGAAACGGGATAAACTTCCCAGAACTACACGGAAGCATTCTGAGAAACTTCTTTGTGATGTTTGCATTCAACTCACAGAGTTGAAACTTGCTTTCATAGTTCAGCTTTCAAACACTCTTTTTGTAGAATCTGCAAGTGGATATTTGGACCACTTTGTGGCCTTCCTTCGAAACGGGTATATCTTCACATCAAACCTAGACAGAAGCATTCTCAGAATGTTTCCTGTGATGACTGCATTCAACACACAGAGGTGAACAATCCTGTTGATGGAGCAGTTTTGAAACTCTCTTTCTTTGGATTCTGCAAGTGGATATGTGGAACTCTGTGAAGATTTCGTTGGAAACGGGTTCATCTTCACAGAAAAACTAAACAGGAGCATTCTCAGAAACTGCTTTGTGATGTTTGTGTTCCACTTCAGGAATTGAACTTTCCTCTTAACAGAGCAGCTCTGAAACCCTCTTATTCTAGAATCTGCAAGTGGACATTTGGAGGGCTTTGAGGCCTGTGGTGGAAAAGGAAAATCTTCACATAAAAACTAGATGGAAGCATTCTCAGAAACTACTTTGTGATGATTGCATTCGACTCACAGAGTTGAACATTCCTATAGATAGAGCAGGTTGTAAACAATCTTTTTGTAGAATCTGCGATTGGAGATTTGGACTGCTTTGGGGCCTACTGTAGTAAAGGAAATAACTTCATCTAAAAACCAAACGGAAGCATTCACAGACAATTCTTAGTGATCATTGGATTGAACTAACAGAGCTGAACATTCCTTTAGATGGAGCAGTTTCCAAACACACTTTCTGTAGAATCTGCAAGTGGATATTTGGACTTCTCTGAGGATTTCGTTGGAAACGGGATAAACTTCCCAGAACTACACGGAAGCATTGTGAGAAACTTCTCTGTGATGTTAGCATTCAACTCACAGAGTTGAACCTTGCTTTCATAGTTCAGCTTTCAAACACTCTTTTTGTGGAATCTGCAAGTGGATATTTGGACCACTTTGTGGCCTTCCTTCGAAACGGGTATATCTTCACATCAAACCTAGACAGAAGCATTCTCAGAATGTTTCCTGTGATGACTGCATTCAACTCACAGAGGTGAACAATCCTGCTGATGGAGCAGTTTTGAAACTCTCTTTCTTTGGATTCTGCAAGTGGATATGTGGACCTCTGTGAAGATTTCGTTGGAAACGGGTTCATCTTCACAGAAAAACTAAACAGAAGCATTCTCAGAAACTGCTTTGTGATGTTTGTGTTCCACTTCAAGAATTGAACTTTCCTCTTGACAGAGCAGCTCTGAAACCCTCTTTTTCTAGAATCTGCAAGTGGACATTTGGAGGGCTTTGAGGCCTATGGTGGAAAAGGAAAATCTTCACATAAAAACTAGATGGAAGCATTCTCAGAAACTACTTTGTGATGATTGCATTCGACTCACAGAGTTGAACATTCCTATAGATAGAGCAGGTTGTAAACAATCTTTTTGTAGAATCTGAGATTGGAGATTTGGACTGCTTTGAGGCCTACTGTAGTAAAGGAAATAACTTCATCTAAAAACCAAACGGAAGCATTCACAGACAATTCTTTGTGATCATTGGATTGAACTAAGAGACCTGAACATTCCTTTAGATGGCGCAGTTTCCAAACACACTATCTCTAGAATCTGCAAGTGGATATTTGGACCTCTCTGAGGATTTCGTTGGAAACGGGATAAAATCCCAGAACCACACACAAGCATTCTCAGAAACTTCTTTGTGATGTTGCATTCAACTCACAGACTTGAACCTTGCTTTCATAGTTCAGCTTCCAAACACTCTTTTTGTAGAATCTGCAAGTGGATATTTGGACCACTTTGTGGCCTTCCTTCGAAACGGGAATATCTTCACATCAAACCTAGACAGAAGCATTCTCAGAATGTTTCCTGTGATGACTGCATTCAACGCACAGAGGTGAACAATCCTGTTGATGGAGCAGTTTTGAATCTCTCTTTCTCTGGAATCTGAAAGTGGATATGTGGACCTCTTTGAAGATTTCGTTGGAAAAGGGTTCATCTTCAAAGAAAAACTAAACAGAAGCATTCTCAGAAACAACTTTGTGATGTTTGTGTTCAACTTGCAGAGTTGACCTTTCCTCTTGACAGAGCAGCTATGAAACATTGTTTTTCCAGAATCTGCAAGTGGACATTTGGAGGGTTTTGGGGCCTTTGGCGGAAACGTAAATATCTGCATATAATAACTAGATAGAAGCATTCTGAGAATCTACTTTGTGATGATTGCATTCGACTCACAGAGTTAAACCTTCCAATGGAGAAAGCAGTTTGTAAACACTCTTTTTGTAGAATCTGCGATTGCTGATTTGGACTGCATTGAGGCCTACGGTACTAAAGGAAATAACTTCATCTAAAAACCAAACGGAAGCATTCACAGAAAATTCTTAGTGATCATTGGATTGAACTAACAGAGCTGAACATTCCTTTAGATGGTGCAGTTTCCAAACCCACTTTCTGTAGAATCTGCAAGTGGATATTTGGACTTCTCTGAGGATTTCGTTGGAAACGGGATATGCTTCCCAGAACTACACGGAAGCATTCTGAGAAACTTCTTTGTGATGTTTGCATTCAACTCACAGAGTTGAACCTTGCTTTCATAGTTCAGCTTTCAAACACTCTTTTTGTAGAATCTGCAAGTAGATATTTGGACCACTTTGTGGCCTTCCTTCGAAACGGGTATATCTTCACATCAAACCTAGACAGAAGCATTCTCAGAATGTTTCCTGTGATGACTGCATTCAACTCACAGAGGTGAACAATCCTGCTGATGGAGCAGTTTTGAAACTCTCTTTCTTTGGATTCTGCAAGTGGATATGTGGACCTCTGTGAAGATTTCGTTGGAAACGGGTTCATCTTCACAGAAAAACTAAACAGGAGCATTCTCAGAAACTACTTTGTGATGTTTGTGTTCCACTTCAAGAATTGAACTTTCCTCTTGACAGAGCAGCTCTGAAACCCTCTTTTTCTAGAATCTGCAAGTGGACATTTGGAGGGCTTTGAGGCCTGTGGTGGAAAAGGAAAATCTTCACATAAAAACTAGATGGAAGCATTCTCAGAAACTACTTTGTGATGATTGCATTCGACTCACAGAGTTGAACATTCCTATATATAGAGCAGGTTGTAAACAATCTTTTTGTAGAATCTGCGATTGGAGATTTGGACTGCTTTGAGGCCTACTGTAGTTAAGGAAATAACTTCATCTAAAAACCAAACGGAAGCATTCACAGACAATTCTTAGTGACCATTGGATTGAACTAACAGAGCTGAACATTCCTTTAGATGGAGCAGTTGCCAAACCCACTTTCTGTAGAATCTGCAAGTGGATATTTGGACTTCTCTGAGGATTTCGTTGGAAACGGGATAAACTTCCCAGAACTACACGGAAGCATTCTGAGAAACTTCTTTGTGATGTTTGCATTCAACTCACAGAGTTGAAACTTGCTTTCATAGTTCAGCTTTCAAACACTCTTTTTGTAGAATCTGCAAGTGGATATTTGGACCACTTTGTGGCCTTCCTTCGAAACGGGTATATCTTCACATCAAACCTAGACAGAAGCATTCTCAGAATGTTTCCTGTGATGACTGCATTCAACTCACAGAGGTGAACAATCCTGCTGATGGAGCAGTTTTGAAACTCTCTTTCTTTGGATTCTGCAAGTGGATATGTGGACCTCTGTGAAGATTTCGTTGGAAACGGGTTCATCTTCACAGAAAAACTAAACAGAAGCATTCTCGGAAACTGCTTTGTGATGTTTGTGTTCCACTTCAGGAATTGAACTTTCCTCTTGACAGAGCAGCTCTGAAACCCTCTTATTCTAGAATCTGCAAGTGGACATTTGGAGGGCTTTGAGGCCTGTGGTGGAAAAGGAAAATCTTCACATAAAAACTAGATGGAAGCATTCTCAGAAACTACTTTGTGATGATTGCATTCGACTCACAGAGTTGAACATTCCTATACATAGAGCAGGTTGTAAACAATCTTTTTGTAGAATCTGCGATTGGAGATTTGGACTGCTTTGAGGCCTACTGTAGTAAAGGAAATAACTTCATCTAAAAACCAAACGGAAGCATTCACAGACAATTCTTAGTGATCATTGCATTGAACTAACAGAGCTGAACATTCCTTTAGATGGCGCAGTTTCCAAACACACTTTCTGTAGAATCTGCAAGTGGATATTTGGACTTCTCTGAGGATTTCGTTGGAAACGGGATAAACTTCCCAGAACTACACGGAAGCATTGTGAGAAACATCTTTGTGATGTTTGCATTCAACTCACAGAGTTGAACCTTGCTTTCATAGTTCAGCTTTCAAACACTCTTTTTGTAGAATCTGCAAGTGGATATTTGGACCACTTTGTGGCTTTCCTTTGAAACGGGTACATCTTCACATCAAACCTAGACAGAAGCATTCTCAGAATGTTTCCTGTGATGACTGCATTCAACTCACAGAGGTGAACAATCCTGCTGATGGAGCAGTTTTGAAACTCTCTTTCTTTGGATTCTGCAAGTGGATATGTGGACCTCTGTGAAGATTTCGTTGGAAACGGGTTCATCTTCACAGAAAAACTAAACAGAAGCATTCTCAGAAACTGCTTTGTGATGTTTGTGTTCCACTTCAAGCAATTGAACTTTCCTCTTGACAGAGCAGCTCTGAAACCCTCTTTTTCTAGAATCTGCAAGTGGACATTTGGAGGGCTTTGAGGCCTGTGGTGGAAAAGGAAAATCTTCCCATAAAAACTAGATGGAAGCATTCTCAGAAACTACTTTGTGATGATTGCATTCGACTCACAGAGTTGAACATTCCTATAGATAGAGCAGGTTGTAAACAATCTTTTTGTAGAATCTGCGATTGGAGATTTGGACTGCTTTGAGGCCTACTGTAGTAAAGGAAATAACTTCATCTAAAAACCAAACGGAAGCATTCACAGACAATTCTTAGTGATCATTGGATTGAACTAACAGAGCTGAACATTCCTTTAGATGGAGCAGTTTCCAAACCCACTTTCTGTAGAACCTGCAAGTGGATATTTGGACCTCTCTGAGGATTTCTTTGGAAACGGGATAAACTTCCCAGAACTACACGGAAGCATTGTGAGAAACTTCTTTGTGATGTTTGCATTCAACTCACAGAGTTGAACCTTGCTTTCATAGTTCAGCTTTCAAACACTCTTTTTGTAGAATCTGCAAGTGGATATTTGGACCACTTTGTGGCCTTCCTTTGAAAAGGGTATATCTTCACATCAAACCTAGACAGAAGCATTCTCAGAATGTTTCCTGTGATGACTGCATTCAACTCACAGAGGTGAACAATCCTGCTGATGGAGCAGTTTTGAAACTCTCTTTCTTTGGATTCTGCAAGTGGATATGTGGACCTCTGTGAAGATTTCGTTGGAAACGGGTTCATCTTCACAGAAAAACTAAACAGAAGCATTCTCAGAAACTGCTTTATGATGTTTGTGTTCCACTTCAGGAATTGAACTTTCCTCTTGACAGAGCAGCTCTGAAACCCTCTTTTTCTAGAATCTGCATGTGGACATTTGGAGGGTTTGAGGCCAGTGGTGGAAAAGGAAAATCTTCACATAAAAACTAGATGGAAGCATTCTCAGAAACTACTTTGTGATGATTGCATTCGACTCACAGAGTTGAACATTCCTATAGATAGAGCAGGTTGTAAACAATCTTTTTGTAGAATCTGCGATTGGAGATTTGGACTGCTTTGAGGCCTACTGTAGTAAAGGAAATAACTTCATCTAAAAACCAAACGGAAGCATTCACAGATAATTCTTAGTGATCATTGGATTGAACTAACAGAGCTGAAGATTCCTTTAGATGGAGCAGTTTCCAAACACACTTTCTGTAGAATCTGCAAGTGGATATTTGGACTTCTCTGAGGATTTCGTTGGAAACGGGATAAACTTCCCAGAACTACACGGAAGCATTCTGAGAAACTTCTTTGTTATGTTTGCATTCAACTCACAGAGTTGAACCCTGCTTTCATAGTTCAGCTTTCAAACACTCTTTTTGTAGGATCTGCAAGTGGATATTTGGACCACTTTGTGGCCTTCCTTCGAAACGGGTATATCTTCACATCAAACCTAGACAGAAGCATTCTCAGAGTGTTTCCTGTGATGACTGCATTCAACTCACAGAGGTGAACAATCCTGTTGATGGAGCAGTTTTGAAACTCTCTTTCTTTGGATTCTGCAAGTTGATATGTGGACCTCTGTGAAGATTTCGTTGGAAACGGGTTCATCTTCACAGAAAAACTAAACAGAAACATTCTCAGAAACTGCTTTGTGATGTTTGTGTTCCACTTCAAGAATTGAACTTTCCTCTTGACAGAGCAGCTCTGAAACCCTCTTTTTCTAGAATCTGCAAGTGGACATTTGGAGGGCTTTGAGGCCTGTGGTGGAAAAGGAAAATCTTCCCATAAAAACTAGATGGAAGCATTCTCAGAAACTCCTTTGTGATGATTGCATTCGACTCACAGAGTTGAACATTCCTATAGATAGAGCAGGTTGTAAACAATCTTTTTGTAGAATCTGCGATTGGAGATTTGGACTGCTTTGAGGCCTACTGTAGTAAAGGAAATAACTTCATCTAAAAACCAAACGGAAGCATTCACAGAAAATTCTTAGTGATCATTGGATTGAACTAACAGAGCTGAACATTCCTTTAGATGGAGCAGTTTCCAAACCCACTTTCTGTAGAATCTGCAAGTGGATATTTGGACTTCTCTGAGGATTTCGTTGGAAACGGGATATGCTTCCCAGAACTACACGGAAGCATTGTGAGAAACTTCTTTGTGATGTTTGCATTCAACTCACAGAGTTGAACCTTGCTTTCATAGTTCAGCTTTCAAACACTCTTTTTGTAGAATCTGCAAGTGGATATTTGGACCACTTTGTGGCCTTCCTTCGAAACGGGTATATCTTCACATCAAACCTAGACAGAAGCATTCTCAGAATGTTTCCTGTGACGACTGCATTCAACTCACAGAGGTGAACAATCCTGCTGCTGGAGCAGTTTTGAAACTCTCTTTCTTTGGATTCTGCAAGTGGATATGTGGACCTCTGTGAAGATTTCGTTGGAAACGGGTTCATCGTCACAGAAAAACTAAACAGAAGCATTCTCAGAAACTGCTTTGTGATGTTTGTGTTCCATTCCAGGAATTGAACTTTCCTCTTGACAGAATTCTAGAATCTGCAAGTGGACATTTGGAGGGCTTTGGGGCCTGTGGTGGAAAAGGAAAATATTCACATAAAAACTAGATGGAAGCATTCTCAGAAAAAACTTTGTGATGATTGCATTCGACTCACAGAGTTGAACATTCCTATAGATAGAGCAGGTTGTAAACAATCTTTTTGTAGAATCTGCGATTGGAGATTTGGACTGCTTTGAGGCCTACTGTAGTAAAGGAAATAACTTCATCTAAAAACCAAACGGAAGCATTCACAGACAATTCTTAGTGATCATTGGATTGAACTAACAGAGCTGAACATTCCTTTAGATGGAGCAGTTTCCAAACACACTTTCTGTAGAATCTGCAAGTGGATATTTGGACTTCTCTGAGGATTTCGTTGGAAACGGGATAAACTTCCCAGAACTACACGGAAGCATTGTGAGAAACTTCTTTGTGATGTTTGCATTCAACTCACAGAGTTGAACCTTGCTTTCATAGTTCAGCTTTCAAACACTCTTTTTGTAGAATCTGCAAGTGGATATTTGGACCACTTTGTGGCCTTCCTTTGAAACGGGTATATCTTCACATCAAACCTAGACAGAAGCATTCTCAGAATGTTTCCTGTGATGACTGCATTCAACTCACAGAGGTGAACAATCCTGCTGATGGAGCAGTTTTGAAACTCTCTTTCTTTGGATTCTGCAAGTGGATATGTGGACCTCTGTGAAGATTTCGTTGGAAACGGGTTCATCTTCACAGAAAAACTAAACAGAAGCATTCTCAGAAACTACTTTGTGATGTTTGTGTTCCACTTCAAGAATTGAACTTTCCTCTTGACAGAGCAGCTCTGAAACCCTCTTTTTCTAGAATCTGCAAGTGGACATTTGGAGGGCTTTGAGGCCTGTGGTGGAAAAGGAAAATCTTCACATAAAAACTAGATGGAAGCATTCTCAGAAACTACTTTGTGATGATGGCTTTCGACTCACAGAGTTGAACATTCCTATAGATAGAGCAGGTTGTAAACAATCTTTTTGTAGAATCTGCGATTGGAGATTTGGACTGCTTTGAGGCCTACTGTAGTAAAGGAAATAACTTCATCTAAAAACCAAACGGAAGCATTCACAGACAATTCTTAGTGATCATTGCATTGAACTAACAGAGCTGAACATTGCTTTAGATGGCGCAGTTTCCAAACCCACTTTCTGTAGAATCTGCAAGTGGATATTTGGACCTCTCTGAGGATTTCGTTGGAAACGGGATAAACTTCCCAGAACTACACGGAAGTATGCTGAGAAACTTCTTTGTGATGTTTGCATTCATCTCACAGAGTTGAACCTTGCTTTCATAGTTCAGCTTTCAAACACTCTTTTTGTAGAATCTGCAAGTGGATATTTGGACCACTTTGTGGCCTTCCTTCGAAACGGGTATATCTTCACATCAAACCTAGACAGAAGCATTCTCAGAATGTTTCCTGTGATGACTGCATTCAACTCACAGAGGTGAACAATCCTGCTGACGGAGCAGTTTTGAAACTCTCTTTCTTTGGATTCTGCAAGTGGATATGTGGACCTCTGTGAAGATTTCGTTGGAAACGGGTTCATCTTCACAGAAAAACTAAACAGGAAGCATTCTCAGAAACTGCTTTGTGATGTTTGTGTTCCACTTCAAGAATTGAACTTTCCTCTTGACAGAGCAGCTCTGAAACCCTCTTTTTCTAGAATCTGCAAGTGGACATTTGGAGGGCTTTGAGGCCTGTGGTGGAAAAGGAAAATCTTCCCATAAAAACTAGATGGAAGCATTCTCAGAAACTACTTTGTGATGATTGCATTCGACTCACAGAGTTGAACATTCCTATAGATAGAGCAGGATGAAAACAATCTTTTTGTGGAATCTGCGATTGGAGATTTGGACTGCTTTGAGGCCTACTGTAGTAAAGGAAATAACTTCATCTAAAAACCAAACGGAAGCATTCACAGGCAATTCTTAGTGATCATTGGATTGAACTAACAGAGCTGAACATTCCTTTAGATGGCGCAGTTTCCAAACCCACTTTCTGTAGAATCTGCAAGTGGATATTTGGACTTCTCTGAGGATTTCGTTGGAAACGGGATAAACTTCCCAGAACTACACGGAAAGCATTCTGAGAAACTTCTTTGTGATGTTTGCATTCAACTCACAGGATTTGCACCTTGCTTTCATAGTTCAGCTTTCAAACACTCTTTTTGTAGAATCTGCAAGTGGATATTTGGACCACTTTGTGGCCTTCCTTCGAAAAGGGTATATCTTCACATCAAACCTAGACAGAAGCATTCTCAGAATGTTTCCTGTGATGACTGCATTCAACTCACAGAGGTGAACAATCCTGCTGATGGAGCAGTTTTGAAACTCTCTTTCTTTGGATTCTGCAAGTGGATATGTGGACCTCTGTGAAGATTTCGTTGGAAACGGGTTCATCTTCACAGAAAAACTAAACAGAAGCATTCTCAGAAACTGCTTTGTGATGTTTGTGTTCCACTTCAGGAATTGAACTTTCCTCTTGACAGAGCAGCTCTGAAACCCTCTTATTCTAGAATCTGCAAGTGGACATTTGGAGGGCTTTGAGGCCTGTGGTGGAAAAGGAAAATCTTCACATAAAAACTAGATGGAAGCATTCTCAGAAACTACTTTGTGATGATTGCATTCGACTCACAGAGTTGAACATTCCTATAGATAGAGCAGGTTGTAAACAATCTTTTTGTAGAATCTGCGATTGGAGATTTGGACTGCTTTGAGGCCTACTGTAGTAAAGGAAATAACTTCATCTAAAAACCAAACGGAAGCATTCACAGACAATTCTTAGTGATCATTGGATTGAACTAACAGAGCTGAACATTCCTTTAGGTGGAGCAGTTTCCAAACACACTTTCTGTAGAATCTGCAAGTGGATATTTGGACTTCTCTGAGGATTTCGTTGGAAAAGGATAAACTTCCCAGAACTACACGGAAGCATTGTGAGAAACTTCTTTGTGATGTTTGCATTCAACTCACAGAGTTGAACCTTGCTTTCATAGTTCAGCTTTCAAACACTCCTTTTGTAGAATCTGCAAGTGGATATTTGGACCACTTTGTGGCCTTCCTTGGAAACGGGTATATCTTCACATCAAACCTAGACAGAAGCATTTTCAGAATGTTTCCTGTGATGACTGCATTCAACTCACAGAGGTGAACAATCCTGCTGATGGAGCAGTTTTGAAACTCTCTTTCTTTGGATTCTGCAAGTGGATATGTGGACCTCTGTGAAGATTTCGTTGGAAACGGGTTCATCTTCACAGAAAAACTAAACAGAAGCATTCTCAGAAACTGCTTTGTGATGTTTGTGTTCCACTTCAAGAATTGAACTTTCCTCTTGACAGACCAGCTCTGAAACCCTCTTTTTCTAGAATCTGCAAGTGGACATTTGGCGGGCTTTGAGGCCTGTGGTGGAAAAGGAAAATCTTCACATAAAAACTAGATGGAAGCATTCTCAGAAACTACTTTGTGATGATTGCATTCGACTCACATAGTTGAACATTCCTATAGATAGAGCAGGTTGTAAACAATCTTTTTGTAGAATCTGCGATTGGAGATTTGGACTGCTTTGAGGCCTACTGTAGTAAAGGAAATAACTTCATCTAAAAACCAAACGGAAACATTCACAGGACAATTCTTAGTGATCATTGCATTGAACTAACAGAGCTGAACATTCCTTTAGATGGAGAAGTTTCCAAACACACTTTCTGTAGAATCTGCAAGTGGATATTAGGACTTCTCTGAGGATTTCGTTGGAAACGGGATAAACTTCCCAGAACTACACGGAAGCATTGTGAGAAACTTCTTTGTGATGTTTGCATTCAACTCACAGAGTTGAACCTTGCTTTCATAGTTCAGCTTTCAAACACTCTTTTTGTAGAATCTGCAAGTGGATATTTGGACCACTTTGTGGCCTTCCTTCGAAACGGGTATATCTTCACATCAAACCTAGACAGAAGCATTCTCAGAATGTTTCCTGTGATGACTGCATTCAACTCACAGAGGTGAACAATCCTGCTGATGGAGCAGTTTTGAAACTCTCTTTCTTTGGATTCTGCAAGTGGATATGTGGACCTCTGTGAAGATTTCGTTGGAAACGGGTTCATCTTCACAGAAAAACTAAACAGAAGCATTCTCAGAAACTGCTTTGTGATATTTGTGTTCCACTTCAGGAATTGAACTTTCCTCTTGACAGAGCAGCTCTGAAACCCTCTTTTTCTAGAATCTGCAAGTGGACATTTGGAGGGCTTTGAGGCCTGTGGTGGAAAAGGAAAATCTTCACATAAAAACTAGATGGAAGCATTCTCAGAAACTACATTGTGATGATTGCATTCGACTCACAGAGTTGAACATTCCTATAGATAGAGCAGGTTGAAAACAATCATTTTGTAGAATCTGCGATTGGAGATTTGGACTGCTTTGAGGCCTACTGTAGTAAAGGAAATAACTTCATCTAAAAATCAAACGGAAGCATTCACAGACAATTCTTAGTGATCATTGGATTGAACTAACAGAGCTGAACATTCCTTTAGATGGAGCAGTTTCCAAACACACTTTCTGTAGAATCTGCAAGTGGATATTTGGACCTCTCTGAGGATTTCGTTGGAAACGGGATAAACTTCCCAGAACTACACGGAAGCATTCTGAGAAACTTCTTTGTGATGTTTGCATTCAACTCACAGAGTTGAACCTTGCTTTCATAGTTCAGCTTTCAAACACTCTTTTTGTAGAATCTGCAAGTGGATATTTGGACCACTTTGTGGCCTTCCTTCGAAACGGGTATATCTTCACATCAAACCTAGACAGAAGCATTCTCAGAATGTTTCCTGTGATGACTGCATTCAACTCACAGAGGTGAACAATCCTGTTGATGGAGCAGTTTTGAAACTCTCTTTCTTTGGATTCTGCAAGTGGATATGTGGACCTCTGTGAAGAATTTCGTTGGAAACGGGTTCATCTTCACAGAAAAACTAAACAGAAGCATTCTCAGAAACTGCTTTGTGATGTTTGTGTTCCACTTCAAAAATTGAACTTTCCTCTTGACAGAGCAGCTCTGAAACCCTCTTTTTCTAGAATCTGCAAGAGGACATTTGGAGGGCTTTGAGGCCTGTGGTGGAAAAGGAAAATCTTCACATAAAAACTAGATGGAAGCATTCTCAGAAACTACTTTGTGATGATTGCATTCGACTCACAGAGTTGAACATTCCCTTAGATAGAGCAGGTTGTAAACAATCTTTTTGTAGAATCTGCGATTGGAGATTTGGACTGCTTTGAGGCCTACTGTAGTAAAGGAAATAACTTCATCTAAAAACCAAACGGAAGCATTCACAGACAATTCTTAGTGATCATTGGATTGAACTAACAGAGCTGAACATTCCTTTAGATGGAGCAGTTTCCAAACACACTTTCTGTAGAATCTGCAAGTGGATATTTGGACTTCTCTGAGGATTTCGTTGGAAACGGGATAAACTTCCCAGAACTACACGGAAGCATTGTGAGAAACTTCCTTTGTGATGTTTGCATTCAACTCACAGAGTTGAACCTTGCTTTCATAGTTCAGCTTTCAAACACTCTTTTTGTAGAATCTGCAAGTGGATATTTGGACCACTTTGTGGCCTTCCTTCGAAACGGGTATATCTTCACATCAAACCTAGACAGAAGCATTCTCAGAATGTTTCCTGTGATGACTGCATTCAACTCACAGAGGTGAACAATCCTGCTGATGGAGCAGTTTTGAAACTCTCTTTCTTTGGATTCTGCAAGTGGATATGTGAACCTCTGTGAAGATTTCGTTGGAAACGGGTTCATCTTCACAGAAAAACTAAACAGGAGCATTCTCAGAAACTGCTTTGTGATGTTTGTGTTCCACTTCAGGAATTGAACTTTCCTCTTGACAGAGCAGCTCTAAAACCCTCTTATTCTAGAATCTGCAAGTGGACATTTGGAGGGCTTTGAGGCCTGTGGTGGAAAAGGAAAATCTTCACATAAAAACTAGATGGAAGCATTCTCAGAAACTACTTTGTGATGATTGCATTCGACTCACAGAGTTGAACATTCCTATAGATAGAGCAGGTTGTAAACAATCTTTTTGTAGAATCTGCGATTGGAGATTTGGACTGCTTTGAGGCCTACTGTAGTAAAGGAAATAACTTCATCTAAAAACCAAACGGAAGCATTCACAGACAATTCTTAGTGATCATTGGATTGAACTAACAGAGCTGAACATTCCTTTAGATGGAGCAGTTTCCAAACACACTTTCTGTAGAATCTGCAAGTGGATATTTGGACCTCTCTGAGGATTTCGTTGGAAACGGGATAAACTTCCCAGAACTACACGGAAGCATTCTGAGAAACTTCTTTGTGATGTTTGCATTCAACTCACAGAGTTGAACCTTGCTTTCATAGTTCAGCTTTCAAACACTCTTTTTGTAGAATCTGCAAGTGGATATTTGGACCACTTTGTGGCCTTCCTTCGAAACGGGTATATCTTCACATCAAACCTAGACAGAAGCATTCTCAGAATGTTTCCTGTGATGACTGCATTCAACTCACATAGGTGAACAATCCTGTTGATGGAGCAGTTTTGAAACTCTCTTTCTTTGGATTCTGCAAGTTGATATGTGGACCTCTGGGAAGATTTCGTTGGAAACGGGTTCATCTTCACAGAAAAACTAAACAGAAGCATTCTCAGAAACTGCTTTGTGATGATTGTGTTCCACTTTAGGAATTGAACTTTCCTCTTGACAGAGCAGCTCTGAAACCCTCTTTTTCTAGAATCTGCAAGTGGACATTTGGAGGGCTTTGAGGCCTGTGGTGGAAAAGGAAAATCTTCACATAAAAACTAGATGGAAGCATTCTCAGAAACTACTTTGTTATGATTGCATTCGACTCACAGAGTTGAACATTCCTATAGATAGAGCAGGTTGTAAACAATCTTTTTGTAGAATCTGCGATTGGAGATTTGGACTGCTTTGAGGCCTACTGTAGTAAAGGAAATAACTTCATCTAAAAACCAAACGGAAGCATTCACAGACAATTCTTAGTGATCATTGCATTGAACTAACAGAGCTGAACATTCCTTTAGATGGCGCAGTTTCCAAACACACTTTCTGTAGAATCTGCAAGTGGATATTTGGACCTCTCTGAGGATTTCGTTGGAAACGGGATAAACTTCCCAGAACTACACGGAAGCATTGTGAGAAACTTCTTTGTGATGTTTGCATTCAACTCACAGAGTTGAACCTTGCTTTCATACTTCAGCTTTCAAACACTCTTTTTGTAGAATCTGCAAGTGGATATTTGGACCACTTTGTGGCCTTCCTTCGAAACAGGTATATCTTCACATCAAACCTAGACAGAAGCATTCTCAGAATGTTTCCTGTGATGACTGCATTCAACTCCCAGAGGTGAACAATCCTGCTGATGGAGCAGTTTTGAAACTCTCTTTCTTTGGATTCTGCAAGTGGATATGTGGACCTCTGCGAAGATTTCGTTGGAAACGGGTTCATCTTCACAGAAAAACTAAACAGAAGCATTCTCAGAAACTGCTTTGTGATGTTTGTGTTCCACTTCAAGAATTGAGCTTTCCTCTTGACAGAGCAGCTCTGAAACCCTCTTTTTCTAGAATCTGCAAGTGGACCTTTGGAGGGCTTTGAGGCCTGTGGTGGAAAAGGAAAATCTTCACATAAAAACTAGATGGAAGCATTCTCAGAAACTACTTTTTGATGATTGCATTCGACTCACAGAGTTGAACATTCCTATAGATAGAGCAGGTTGTAAACAATCTTTTTGTAGAATCTGCGATTGGAGATTTGGACTGCTTTGAGGCCTACTGTAGTAAAGGAAATAACTTCATCTAAAAACCAAACGGAAGCATTCACAGACAATTCTTAGTGATCATTGCATTGAACTAACAGAGCTGAACATTCCTTTAGATGGCGCAGTTTCCAAACACACTTTCTGTAGAATCTGCAAGTGGATATTTGGACTTCTCTGAGGATTTCGTTGGAAACGGGATAAACTTCCCAGAACTACACGGAAGCATTGTGAGAAACTTCTTTGTGATGTTTGCATTCAACTCACAGAGTTGAACCTTGCTTTCATAGTTCAGCTTTCAAACACTCTTTTTGTAGAATCTGCAAGTGGATATTTGGACCACTTTGTGGCTTTCCTTTGAAACGGGTATATCTTCACATCAAACCTAGACAGAAGCATTCTCAGAATGTTTCCTGTGATGACTGCATTCAACTCATAGAGGTGAACAATCCTGTTGATGGAGAAGTTTTGAAACTCTTTTTCTTTGGATTCTGCAAGTGGATATGTGGACCTCTGTGAAGATTTCGTTGGAAACGGGTTCATCTTCACAGGAAAACTAAACAGGAGCATTCTCAGAAACTGCTTTGTGATGTTTGTGTTCCACTTCAAGAATTGAACTTTCCTCTTGACAGAGCAGCTCTGAAACCCTCTTTTTCTAGAATCTGCAAGTGGACATTTGGAGGGCTTTGATGCCTGTGGTGGAAAAGGAAAATCTTCACATAAAAACTAGATGGAAGCATTCTCAGAAACTACTTTGTGATGATTGCATTCGACTCACAGAGTTGAACATTCCTATAGATAGAGCAGGTTGTAAACAATCTTTTTGTAGAATCTGCGATTGGAGATTTGGACTGCTTTGAGGCCTACTGTAGTAAAGGAAATAACTTCATCTAAAAACCAAACGGAAGCATTCACAGACAATTCTTAGTGATCATTGCATTGAACTAACAGAGCTGAACATTCCTTTAGATGGAGCAGTTTCCAAACCCACTTTCTGTAGAATCTGCAAGTGGATATTTGGACTTCTCTGAGGATTTCGTTGGAAACGGGATAAACTTCCCAGAACTACACTGAAGCATTGTGAGAAACTTCTTTGTGATGTTTGCATTCAACTCACAGAGTTGAACCTTGCTTTCATAGTTCAGCTTTCAAACACTCTTTTTGTAGAATCTGCAAGTGGATATTTGGACCACTTTGTGGCCTTCCTTCGAAACGGGTATATCTTCACATCAAACCTAGACAGAAGCATTCTCAGAATGTTTCCTGTGATGACTGCATTCAACTCACAGAGGTGAACAATCCTGCTGATGGAGCAGTTTTGAAACTCTCTTTCTTTGGATTCTGCAAGTGGATATGTGGACCTCTGTGAAGATTTCGTTGGAAACGGGTTCATCTTCACAGAAAAACTAAACAGGAGCATTCTCAGAAACTGCTTTGTGATGTTTGTGTTCCACTTCAGGAATTGAACTTTCCTCTTGACAGAGCAGCTCTAAAACCCTCTTATTCTAGAATCTGCAAGTGGACATTTGGAGGGCTTTGAGGCCTGTGGTGGAAAAGGAAAATCTTCACATAAAAACTAGATGGAAGCATTCTCAGAAACTACTTTGTGATGATTGCATTCGACTCACAGAGTTGAACATTCCTATAGACAGAGCAGGTTGTAAACAATCTTTTTGTAGAATCTGCGATTGGAGATTTGGACTGCTTTGAGGCCTACTGTAGTAAAGGAAATAACTTCATCTAAAAACCAAACGGAAGCATTCACAGACAATTCTTAGTGATCATTGCATTGAACTAACAGAGCTGAACATTGCTTTAGATGGCGCAGTTTCCAAACACACTTTCTGTAGAATCTGCAAGTGGATATTTGGACCTCTCTGAGGATTTCGTTGGAAACGGGATAAACTTCCCAGAACTACACGGAAGCATTCTGAGAAACTTCTTTGTGATGTTTGCATTCAACTCACAGAGTTGAACCTTCCTTTCATAGTTCAGCTTTCAAACACTCTTTTTGTAGAATCTGCAAGTGGATATTTGGACCACTTTGTGGCCTTCCTTCGAAACGGGTATATCTTCACATCAAACCTAGAGAGA
The DNA here is from genome assembly GCF_000001405.40 of Homo sapiens. Classification (NCBI taxonomy): domain Eukaryota; kingdom Metazoa; phylum Chordata; class Mammalia; order Primates; family Hominidae; genus Homo; species Homo sapiens. The sequence continues at coordinate 52,836,604 of NC_000011.10, forward strand.
AGCATTCTCAGAATGTTTCCTGTGATGACTGCATTCAACTCACAGAGGTGAACAATCCTGCTGATGGAGCAGTTTTGAAACTCTCTTTCTTTGGATTCTGCAAGTGGATATGTGGACCTCTGTGAAGATTTCGTTGGAAACGGGTTCATCTTCACAGAAAAACTAAACAGGGAGCATTCTCAGAAACTGCTTTGTGATGTTTGTGTTCCACTTCAGGAATTGAACTTTCCTCTTGATAGAGCAGCTCTGAAACCCTCTTTTTCTTGAATCTGCAAGTGGACATTTGGAGCGCTTTGAGGCCTGTGGTGCAAAAGGAAAATCTTCACATAAAAACTAGATGGAGCATTCTCAGAAACTACTTTGTGATGATTGCATTCGACTCACAGAGTTGAACATTCCTATAGATAGAGCAGGTTGTAAACAATCTTTTTGTAGAATCTGCGATTGGAGATTTGGACTGCTTTGAGGCCTACTGTAGTAAAGGAAATAACTTCATCTAAAAACCAAACGGAAGCATTCACAGACAATTCTTGGTGATCATTGGATTGAGCTAACAGAGCTGAACATTCCTTTAGATGGAGCAGTTTCCAAACACACTTTCTGCAGAATCTGCAAGTGGATATTTGGACTTCTCTGAGGATTTCGTTGGAAACGGGATAAACTTCCCAGAACTACACGGAAGCATTCTGAGAAACTTCTTTGTGATGTTTGCATTCAACTCACAGAGTTGAACCTTGCTTTCATAGTTCAGCTTTCAAACACTCTTTTTGTAGAATCTGCAAGTGGATATTTGGACCACTTTGTGGCCTTCCTTCGAAACGGGTATATCTTCACATCAAACCTAGACAGAAGCATTCTCAGAATGTTTCCTGTGATGACTGCATTCAACTCACAGAGGTGAACAATCCTGCTGATGGAGCAGTTTTGAAACTCTCTTTCTTTGGATTCTGCAAGTGGATATGTGGACCTCTGTGAAGATTTCCTTGGAAACGGGTTCATCTTCACAGAAAAACTAAACAGAAGCATTCTCAGAAACTGTTTTGTGATGTTTGTGTTCCACTTCAGGAATTGAACTTTCCTCTTGACAGAGCAGCTCTGAAACCCTCTTATTCTAGAATCTTCAAGTGGACATTTGGAGGGCTTTGAGGCCTCTGGTGGAAAAGGAAAATCTTCACATAAAAACTAGATGGAAGCATTCTCAGAAACTACTTTGTGATGATTGCATTCGACTCACAGAGTTGAACATTCCTATAGATAGAGCAGGTTGTAAACAATCTTTTTGTAGAATCTGCGATTGGAGATTTGGACTGCTTTGAGGCCTACTGTAGTAAAGGAAATAACTTCATCTAAAAACCAAACGGAAGCATTCACAGAGAATTCTTAGTGATCATTGCATTGAACTAACAGAGCTGAACATTACTTTAGATGGCGCAGTTTCCAAACACACTTTCTGTAGAATCTGCAAGTGGATATTTGGACCTCTCTGAGGATTTCGTTGGAAACGGGATAAACTTCCCAGAACTACACGGAAGCATTGTGAGAAACTTCTTTGTGATGTTTGCATTCAACTCACAGAGTTGAACCTTGCTTTCATAGTTCAGCTTTCAAACACTCTTTTTGTAGAATCTGCAAGTGGATATTTGGACCACTTTGTGGCCTTCCTTTGAAACGGGTATATCTTCACATCAAACCTAGACAGAAGCATTCTCAGAATGTTTCCTGTGATGACTGCATTCAACTCACAGAGGTGAACAATCCTGTTGATGAAGCACTTTTGAAACTCTCTTTCTTTGGATTCTGCAAGTTGATATGTGGACCTCTGTGAAGATTTCGTTGGAAACGGGTTCATCTTCACAGAAAAACTAAACAGAAGCATTCTCAGAAACTGCTTTGTGATGTTTGTGTTCCACTTCAAGAATTGAACTTTCCTCTTGACAGAGCAGCTCTGAAACCCTCTTTTTCTAGAATCTGCAAGTGGACATTTGGAGGGCTTTGAGGCCTGTGGTGGAAAAGGAAAATCTTCACATAAAAACTAGATGGAAGCATTCTCAGAAACTACTTTGTGATGATTGCATTCGACTCACAGAGTTGAACATTCCTATAGATAGAGCAGGTTGTAAACAATCTTTTTGTAGAATCTGCGATTGGAGATTTGGACTGCATTGAGGCCTACTGTAGTAACGGAAATAACTTCATCTAAAAACCAAACGGAAGCATTCACAGACAATTCTTAGTGATCATTGCATTGAACTAACAGAGCTGAACATACTTTTAGATGGCGCAGTTTCCAAACACACTTTCTGTAGAATCTGCAAGGGGATATTTGGACTTCTCTGAGGATTTCGTTGGAAACGGGATATGCTTCCCAGAACTACACGGAAGTATTCTGAGAAACTTCTTTGTGATGGTTGCATTCAACTCACAGAGTTGAACCTTGCTTTCATAGTTCAGCTTTCAAACACTCTTTTTGTAGAATCTGCAAGTGGATATTTGGACCACTTTGTGGCCTTCCTTCGAAACGGGTATATCTTCACATCAAACCTTGACAGAAGCATTCTCAGAATGTTTCCTGTGATGACTGCATTCAACTCACAGAGGTGAACAATCCTGTTGATGGAGCAGTTTTGAAACTCTCTTTCTTTGGATTCTGCAAGTTGATATGTGGACCTCTGTGAAGATTTCGTTGGAAACGGGTTCATCTTCACAGAAAAACTAAACAGAAGCATTCTCAGAAACTGCTTTGTGATGTTTGTGTTCCACTTCAGGAATTGAACTTTCCTCTTGACAGAGCAGCTCTAAAACCCTCTTATTCTAGAATCTGCAAGTGGACATTTGGAGGGCTTTGAGGCCTGTGGTGGAAAAGGAAAATCTTCACATAAAAACTAGATGGAAGCATTCTCAGAAACTACTTTGTGATGATTGCATTCGACTCACAGAGTTGAACATTCCTATAGATAGAGCAGGTTGTAAACAATCTTTTTGTAGAATCTGCGATTGGAGATTTGGACTGCTTTGAGGCCTACTGTAGTAAAGGAAATAACTTCATCTAAAAACCAAACGGAACCATTCACAGACAATTCTTAGTGATCATTGCATTGAACTAACAGAGCTGAACATTCCTTTAGATGGCGCAGTTTCCAAACACACTTTCTGTAGAATCTGCAAGTGGATATTTGGACTTCTCTGAGGATTTCGTTGGAAACAGGATAAACTTCCCAGAACTACACGGAAGCATTGTGAGAAACTTCTTTGTGATGTTTGCATTCAACTCACAGAGTTGAAACTTGCTTTCATAGTTCAGCTTTCAAACACTCTTTTTGTAGAATCTGCAAGTGGATATTTGGACCACTTTGTGGCCTTCCTTCGAAACGGGTATATCTTCACATCAAACCTAGACAGAAGCATTCTCAGAATGTTTCCTGTGATGACTGCATTCAACTCACAGAGGTGAACAATCCTGTTGATGGAGCACTTTTGAAACTCTCTTTCTTTGGATTCTGCAAGTTGATATGTGGACCTCTGTGAAGATTTCGTTGGAAACGGGTTCATCTTCACAGAAAAACTAAACAGAAGCATTCTCAGAAACTACTTTGTGATGTTTGTGTTCCACTTCAAGAATTGAACTTTCCTCTTGACAGAGCAGCTCTGAAACCCTCTTTTTCTAGAATCTGCAAGTGGACATTTGGAGGGCTTTGAGGCCTGTGGTGGAAAAGGAAAATCTTCACATAAAAACTAGATGGAAGCATTCTCAGAAACTACTTTGTGATGATTGCATTCGACTCACAGAGTTGAACATTCCTATAGATAGAGCAGGTTGTAAACAATCTTTTTGTAGAATCTGCGATTGGAGATTTGGACTGCTTTGAGGCCTACTGTAGTAAAGGAAATAACTTCATCTAAAAACCAAACGGAAGCATTCACAGACAATTCTTAGTGATCATTGGATTGAACTAACAGAGCTGAACATTCCTTTAGATGGAGCAGATTCCAAACACACTTTCTGTAGAATCTGCAACTGGATATTTGGACCTCTCTGAGGATTTCGTTGGAAACGGGATAAACTTTCCAGAACTACACGGAAGCATTGTGAGAAACTTCTTTGTGATGTTTGCATTCAACTCACAGAGTTGAACCTTGCTTTCATAGTTCAGCTTTCAAGCACTCTTTTTGTAGAATCTGCAAGTGGATATTTGGACCACTTTGTGGCCTTCCTTCGAAACGGGTATATCTTCACATCAAACCTAGACAGAAGCATTCTCAGAATGTTTCCTGTGATGACTGCATTCAACTCACAGAGGTGAACAATCCTGTTGATGGAGCACTTTTGAAACTCTCTTTCTTTGGATTCTGCAAGTTGATATGTGGACCTCTGTGAAGATTTCGTTGGAAACGGGTTCATCTTCACAGAAAAACTAAACAGAAGCATTCTCAGAAACTGCTTTGTGATGTTTGTGTTCCACTTCAAGAATTGAACTTTCCTCTTGACAGAGCAGCTCTGAAACCCTCTTTTTCTAGAATCTGCAAGTGGACATTTGGAGGGCTTTGAGGCCTGTGGTGGAAAAGGAAAATCTTCCCATAAAAACTAGATGGAAGCATTCTCAGAAACTACTTTGTGATGATTGCATTCGACTCACAGAGTTGAACATTCCTATAGATAGAGCAGGTTGCAAACAATCTTTTTGTAGAATCTGCGATTGGAGATTTGGACTGCTTGGAGGCCTACTGTAGTAAAGGAAATAACTTCATCTAAAAACCAAACGGAAGCATTCACAGACAATTCTTAGTGATCATTGGATTGAACTAACAGAGCTGAACATTCCTTTAGATGGCGCAGTTTCCAAACACACTTTCTGTAGAATCTGCAAGTGGATATTTGGACTTCTCTGAGGATTTCGTTGGAAACGGGATAAACTTCCCAGAACTACACGGAAGCATTCTGAGAAACTTCTTTGTGATGTTTGCATTCAACTCACAGAGTTGAACCTTGCTTTCATAGTTCAGCTTTCAAACACTCTTTTTGTAGAATCTGCAAGTGGATATTTGGACCACTTTGTGGCCTTCCTTCGAAACGGGTATATCTTCACATCAAACCTAGACAGAAGCATTCTCAGAATGTTTCCTGTGATGACTGCATTCAACTCACAGAGGTGAACAATCCTGTTGATGGAGCAGTTTTGAAACTCTCTTTCTTTGGATTCTGCAAGTGGATATGTGGACCTCTGTGAAGATTTCGTTGGAAACGGGTTCATCTTCACAGAAAAACTAAACAGAAGCATTCTCAGAAACTGCTTTGTGATGTTTGTGTTCCACTTCAAGAATTGAACTTTCCTCTTGACAGAGCAGCTCTGAAACCCTCTTTTTCTAGAGTCTGCAAGTGGACATTTGGAGGGCTTTGAGGCCTGTGGTGGAAAAGGAAAATCTTCACATAAAAACTAGATGGAAGCATTCTCAGAAACTACTTTGTGATGATTGCATTCGACTCACAGAGTTGAACATTCCTATAGATAGAGCAGGTTGTAAACAATCTTTTTGTAGAATCCGCGATTGGAGATTTGGAGTGCTTTGGGGCCTACTGTAGTAAAGGAAAAAACTTCATCTAAAAACCAAACGGAAGCATTCACAGACAATTCTTAGTGATCATTCCATTGAACTAACAGAGCTGAACATTCGTTTAGATGGCGCAGTTTCCAAACAGACTTTCTGTAGAATCTGCAAGTGGATATTTGGACCTCTCTGAGGATTTCGTTGGAAACGGGAAAACTTCCCAGAACTACACGGAAGCATGCTGAGAAACTTCTTTGTGATGTTTGCATTCAACTCACAGAGTTGAACCTTGCTTTCATAGTTCAGCTTTCAAACACTCTTTTTGTAGAATCTGCAAGTGGATATTTGGACCACTTTGTGGCCTTCCTTCGAAACGGGTATATCTTCACATCAAACCTAGACAGAAGCATTCTCAGAATGTTTCCTGTGATGACTGCATTCAACTCACAGAGGTGAACAATCCTGTTGATGGAGCACTTTTGAAACTCTCTTTCTTTGGATTCTGCAAGTGGATATGTGGACCTCTGTGAAGATTTCATTGGAAACGGGTTCTCTTCACAGAAAAACTAAACAGAAGCATTCTCAGAAACTGCTTTGTGATGTTTGTGTTCCACTTCAGGAATTGAACTTTCCTCTTGACAGAGCAGCTCTGAAACCCTCTTATTCTAGAATCTGCAAGTGGGCATTTGGAGGGCTTTGAGGCCTGTGGTGGAAAAGGAAAATCTTCACATAAAAACTAGATGGAAGCATTCTCAGAAACTACTTTGTGATGATTGCATTCGACTCACAGAGTTGAACATTCCTATAGATAGAGCAGGTTGTAAACAATCTTTTTGTAGAATCTGCGATTGGAGATTTGGACTGCTTTGAGGCCTACTGTAGTAAAGGAAATAACTTCATCTAAAAACCAAACGGAAGCATTCACAGACAATTCTTAGTGATCATTGGATTGAACTAACAGAGCTGAACATTCCTTTAGATGGAGCAGTTTCCAAACACACTTTCTGTAGAATCTGCAAGTGGATATTTGGACCTCTCTGAGGATTTCGTTGGAAAAGGGATAAACTTCCCAGAACTACACGGAAGCATTCTGAGAAACTTCTTTGTGATGTTTGCATTCAACTCACAGAGTTGAACCTTGCTTTCATAGTTCAGCTTTCAAACACTCTTTTTGTAGAATCTGCAAGTGGATATTTGGACCACTTTGTGGCCTTCCTTCGAAACGGGTATATCTTCACATCAAACCTAGACAGAAGCATTCTCAGAATGTTTCCTGTGATGAGTGCATTCAACTCACAGAGGTGAACAATCCTGTTGATGGAGCAGTTTTGAAACTCTCCTCCTTTGGATTCTGCAAGTGGATATGTGGACCTCTGTGAAGATTTGGTTGGAAACGGGTTCATCTTCACAGAAAAACTAAACAGAAGCATTCTCAGAAACTGCTTTGTGATGTTTGTGTTCCACTTCAGGAATTGAACTTTCCTCTTGAGAGAGCAGCTCTGAAACCCTCTTTTTCTAGAATCTGCAAGTGGACATTTGGAGGGCTTTGAGGCCTGTGGTGGAAAAGGAAAATCTTCCCATAAAAACTAGATGGAAGCATTCTCAGAAACTACTTTGTGATGATTGCATTCGACTCACAGAGTTGAACATTCCTATAGATAGAGCAGGTTGTAAACAATCTTTTTGTAGAATCTGCGATTGGAGATTTGGACTGCTTTGAGGCCTACTGTAGTAAAGGAAATAACTTCATCTAAAAACCAAACGGAAGCATTCACAGACAATCCTTAGTGATCATTGGATTGAACTAACAGAGCTGAACATTCCTTTAGATGGCGCAGTTTCCAAACACACTTTCTGTAGAATCTGCAAGTGGATATTTGGACCTCTCTGAGGATTTCGTTGGAAACGGGATAAACTTCCCAGAACTACACGGAAGCATTGTGAGAAACTTCTTTGTGATGTTTGCATTCAACTCACAGAGTTGAACCTTGCTTTCATAGTTCAGCTTTCAAACACTCTTTTTGTAGAATCTGCAAGTGGATATTTGGACCACTTTGTGGCCTTCCTTCGAAACGGGTATATCTTCACATCAAACCTAGACAGAAGCATTCTCAGAATGTTTCCTGTGATGACTGCATTCAACTCACAGAGGTGAACAATCCTGCTGATGGAGCAGTTTTGAAACTCTCCTTCTTTGGATTGTGCAAGTGGATATGTGGACCTCTGTGAAGATTTCGTTGGAAACGGGTTCATCTTCACAGAAAAACTAAACAGAAGCATTCTCAGAAACTGCTTTGTGATGTTTGTGTTCCACTTCAAGAATTGAACTTTCCTCTTGACAGAGCAGCTCTGAAACCCTCTTTTTCTAGAATCTGCAAGTGGACATTTGGAGGGCTTTGAGGCCTGTGGTGGAAAAGGAAAATCTTCACATAAAAACTAGATGGAAGCATTCTCAGAAACTACTTTGTGATGATTGCATTCGACTCACAGAGTTGAACATTCCTATAGATAGAGCAGGTTGTAAACAATCTTTTTGTAGAATCTGCGATTGGAGATTTGGACTGCTTTGAGGCCTACTGTAGTAAAGGAAATAACTTCATCTAAAAACCAAACGGAAGCATTCACAGACAATTCTTAGTGATCATTGGATTGAACTAACAGAGCTGAACATTCCTTTAGATGGAGCAGTTTCCAAACACACTTTCTGTAGAATCTGCAAGTGGATATTTGGACTTCTCTGAGGATTTCGTTGGAAACGGGATAAATTTCCCAGAACTACACGGAAGCATTGTGAGAAACTTCTCTGTGATGTTTGCATTCAACTCACAGAATTGAACCTTGCTTTCATAGTTCAGCTTTCAAACACTCTTTTTGTGGAATCTGCAAGTGGATATTTGGACCACTTTGTGGCCTTCCTTCGAAACGGGTATATCTTCACATCAAACCTAGACAGAAGCATTCTCAGAATGTTTCCTGTGATGACTGCATTCAACTCACAGAGGTGAACAATCCTGCTGATGGAGCAGTTTTGAAACTCTCTTTCTTTGGATTCTGCAAGTGGATATGTGGACCTCTGTGAAGATTTCGTTGGAAACGTGTTCATCTTCACAGAAAAACTAAACAGGAGCATTCTCAGAAACTGCTTTGTGATGTTTGTGTTCCACTTCAAGAATTGAACTTTCCTCTTGACAGAGCAGCTCTGAAACCCTCTTTTTCTAGAATCTGCAAGTGGACATTTGGAGGGCTTTGAGGCCTGTGGTGGAAAAGGAAAATCTTCACATGAAAACTAGATGGAAGCATTCTCAGAAACTACTTTGTGATGATTGCATTCGACTCACAGAGTTGAACATTCCTATAGATGGAGCAGGTTGTAAACAATCTTTTTCTAGAATCTGCGATTGGAGATTTGGACTGCTTTGAGGCCTACTGTAGTAAAGGAAATAACTTCATCTAAAAACCAAACGGAAGCATTCACAGACAATTCTTAGTGATCATTGGATTGAACTAACAGAGCTGAACATTCCTTTAGATGGAGCAGTTTCCAAACCCACTTTCTGTAGAATCTGCAAGTGGATATTTGGACTTCTCTGAGGATTTCGTTGGAAACGGGATAAACTTCCCAGAACTACACGGAAGCATTCTGAGAAACTTCTTTGTGATGTTTGCATTCAACTCACAGAGTTGAACCTTACTTTCATAGTTCAGCTTTCAAACACTCTTTTTGTAGAATCTGCAAGTGGATATTTGGACCACTTTGTGTCCTTCCTTCGAAACGGGTATATCTTCACATCAAACCTAGACAGAAGCATTCCCAGAATGTTTCCTGTGATGACTGCATTCAACTCACAGAGGTGAACAATCCTGTTGATGGAGCAGTTTTGAAACTCTCTTTCTTTGAATTCTGCAAGTGGATATGTGGACCTCTGTGAAGATTTCGTTGGAAACGGGTTCATCTTCACAGAAAAACTAAACAGGAAGCATTCTCAGAAACTGCTTTGTGATGTTTGTGTTCCACTTCAGGAATTGAACTTTCCTCTTGACAGAGCAGCTCTGAAACCCTCTTATTCTAGAATCTGCAAGTGGACATTTGGAGGGTTTTGAGGCCTGTGGTGGAAAAGGAAAATCTTCACATAAAAACTAGATGGAAGCATTCTCAGAAACTACTTTGTGATGATTGCATTCGACTCACAGAGTTGAACATTCCTATAGATAGAGCAGGTTGTAAACAATCTTTTTGTAGAATCTGCTATTGGAAATTTGAACTGCTTTGAGGCCTACTGTAGTAAAGGAAATAACTTCATCTAAAAACCAAACGGAAGCATTCACAGACAATTCTTAGTGATCATTGCATTGAACTAACAGAGCTGAACATTGCTTTAGATGGAGCAGTTTCCAAACACACTTTCTGTAGAATCTGCAAGTGGATATTTGGACCTCTCTGAGGATTTCGTTGGAAACGGGATAAACTTCCCAGAACTACACGGAAGCATTCTGAGAAACTTCTTTGTGATGTTTGCATTCAACTCACAGAGTTGAACCTTGCTTTCATAGTTCAGCTTTCAAACACTCTTTTTGTAGAATCTGCAAGTGGATATTTGGACCACTTTGTGGCCTTCCTTCGAAACGGGTATATCTTCACATCAAACCTAGACAGAAGCATTCTCAGAATGTTTCCTGTGATGACTGCATTCAACTCACAGAGGTGAACAATCCTGCTGATGGAGCAGTTTTGAAACTCTCTTTCTTTGGATTCTGCAAGTGGATATGTGGACCTCTGTGAAGATTTCGTTGGAAACGGGTTCATCTTCACAGAAAAACTAAACAGAAGCATTCTCAGAAACTGCTTTGTGATGTTTGTGTTCCACTTCAGGAATTGAACTTTCCTCTTGAAAGAGCAGCTCTGAAACCCTCTTATTCTAGAATCTGCAAGTGGACATTTGGAGGGCTTTGAGGCCTGTGGTGCAAAAGGAAAATCTTCACATAAAAACTAGATGGAAGCATTCTCAGAAACTACTTTGTGATGATTGCATTCGACTCACAGAGTTGAACATTCCTATAGATAGAGCAGGTTGTAAACACTCTTTTTGTAGAATCTGCGATTGGAGATTTGGACTGCTTTGAGGCCTACTGTAGTAAAGGAAATAACTTCATCTAAAAACCAAACGGAAGCATTCACAGACAATTCTTACTGATCATTGGATTGAACTAACAGAGCTGAACATTCCTTTAGATGGCGCAGTTTCCAAACCCACTTTCTCTAGAATCTGCAAGTGGATATTTGGACGTCTCTGAGGATTTCGTTGGAAACGGGATAAACTTCCCAGAACTACACGGAAGCATTCTGAGAAACTTCTTTGTGATGTTTGCATTCAACTCACAGAGTTGAACCTTGCTTTCATAGTTCAGCTTTCAAACACTCTTTTTGTAGAATCTGCAAGTGGATATTTGGACCACTTTGTGGCCTTCCTTCGAAACGGGTATATCTTCACATCAAACCTAGACAGAAGCATTCTCAGAATGTTTCCTGTGATGACTGCATTCAACTCACAGAGGTGAACTATCCTGCTGATGGAGCAGTTTTGAAACTCTCTTTCTTTGGATTCTGCAAGTGGATATGTGGACCTCTGTGAAGATTTCGTTGGAAACGGGTTCATCTTCACAGAAAAACTAAACAGAAGCATTCTCAGAAACTGCTTTGTGATGTTTGTGTTCCACTTCAGGAATTGAACTTTCCTCTTGACAGAGCAGCTCTGAAATCCTCTTATTCTAGAATCTGCAAGTGGACATTTGGAGGGCTTTGAGGCCTGTGGTGGAAAAGGAAAATCTAAACATAAAAACTAGATGGAAGCATTCTCAGAAACTACTTTGTGATGATTGCATTCGACTCACAGAGTTGAACATTCCTATAGATAGAGCAGGTTGTAAACAATCTTTTTGTAGAATCTTCGATTGGAGATTTGGACTGCTTTGAGGCCTACTGTAGTAAAGGAAATAACTTCACCTAAAAACCAAACGGAAGCATTCACAGACAATACTTAGTGATCATTGGATTGAACAAACAGAGCTGAACATTCCTTTAGATAGAGCAGTTTACAAACACACTTTCTGTAGAATCTGCAAGTGGATATTTGGACCTCTCTGAGGATATCGTTGGAAAAGGGATAAACTTCCCAGAACTACACGGAAGCATTCTGAGAAACTTCTTTGTGATGTTTGCATTCAACTCACAGAGTTGAACCTTGCTTTCATAGTTCAGCTTTCAAACACTCTTTTTGTAGAATCTGCAAGTGGATATTGGGACCACTTTGTAGCCTTCCTTCGAAACGGGTATATCTTCACATCAAACCTAGACAGAAGCATTCTCAGAATGATTCCTGTGATGACTGCATTCAACTCACAGAGGTGAACAATCCTGCTGATGGAGCAGTTTTGAAACTCTCTTTCTTTGGATTCTGCAAGTGGATATGTGGACCTCTGTGAAGATTTCGTTGGAAACGGGTTCATGTTCACAGAGAAACTAAACAGGAGCATTCTCAGAAACTGCTTTGTGATGTTTGTGTTCCACTTCAGGAATTGAACTTTCCTCTTGACAGAGTAGCTCTGAAACCCTCTTTTTCTAGAATCTGCAAGTGGACATTTGGAGGGCTTTGAGGCCTGTGGTGGAAAAGGAAAATCTTCACATAAAAACTAGATGGAAGCATTCTCAGAAACTACTTTGTGATGATTGCATTCGACTCACAGAGTTGAACATTCCTATAGATAGAGCAGGTTGTAAACAATCTTTTTGTAGAATCTGCGATTGGAGATTTGGAGTGCTTTGGGGCCTACTGTAGTAAAGGAAAAAACTTCATCTAAAAACCAAACGGAAGCATTCACAGACAATTCTTAGTGATCATTGGATTGAACTAACAGAGCTGAACATTCCTTTAGATGGACCAGTTTCCAAACACACTTTCTGTAGAATCTGCAAGTGGATATTTGGACCTCTCTGAGGACTTCGTTGGAAACGGGATAAACTTCCCAGAACTACACGGAAGCATTCTGAGAAACTTCTTTGTGATGTTTGCATTCAACTCACAGGGTTGAACCTTGCTTTCATAGTTCAGCTTTCAAACACTCTTTTTGTAGAATCTGCAAGTGGATATTTGGACCACTTTGTGGCCTTCCTTCGAAACGGGTATATCTTCACATCAAACCTAGACAGAAGCATTCTCAGAATGTTTCCTGTGATGACTCCATTCAACTCACAGAGGTGAACAATCCTGCTAATGGAGCAGTTTTGAAACTCTCTTTCTTTGGATTCTGCAAGTGGATATGTGGACCTCTGTGAAGATTTCGTTGGAAACGGGTTCATCTTCACAGAAAAACTAAACAGGAGCATTCTCAGAAACTGCTTTGTGATGTTTGTGTTCCACTTCAAGAATTGAACTGTCCTCTTGACAGTGCAGCTCTGAAACCCTCTTTTTCTAGAATCTGCAAGTGGACATTTGGAGGGCTTTGAGGCCTGTGGTGGAAAAGGAAAATCTTCACATAAAAACTAGATGGAAGCATTCTCAGAAACTACTTTGTGATGATTGCATTCGACTCACAGAGTTGAACATTCCTATAGATAGAGCAGGTTGTAAACAATCTTTTTGTAGAATCTGCGATTGGAGATTTGGACTGCTTTGAGGCCTACTGTAGTAAAGGAAATAACTTCATCTAAAAACCAAACGGAAGCATTCACAGACAATTCTTAGTGATCATTGGATTGAACTAACAGAGCTGAACATTCCTTTAGATGGCGCAGTTTCCAAACACACTTTCTGTAGAATCTGCAAGTGGATATTTGGACCTCTCTGAGGATTTCTTTGGAAACGGGATAAACTTCCCAGAACTACACGGAAGCGTTCTGAGAAACTTCTTTGTGATGTTTGCATTCAAATCACAGAGTTGAACCTTGCTTTCATAGTTCAGCTTTCAAACACTCTTTTTGTAGAATCTGCAAGTGGATATTTGGACCACTTTGTGGCCTTCCTTCGAAAGGGGTATATCTTCACATCAAACCTAGACAGAAGCATTCTCAGAATGTTTTCCTGTGATGACTGCATTCAACTCACAGAGGTGAACAATCCTGCTGATGGAGCAGTTTTGAAACTCTCTTTCTTTGGATTCTGCAAGTGGATATGTGGACCTCTGTGAAGATTTCGTTGGAAACGGGTTCATCTTCACAGAAAAACTAAACAGGAAGCATTCTCAGAAACTGCTTTGTGATGTTTGTGTTCCACTTCAGGAATTCAACTTTCCTCTTGAAAGTGCAGCTCTGAAACCCTCTTTTTCTAGAATCTGCAAGTGGACATTTGGAGGGCTTTGAGGCCTCTGGTGGAAAAGGAAAATCTTCACATAAAAACTAGATGGAAGCATTCTCAGAAACTACTTTGTGATGATTGCATTCGACTCACAGAGTTGAACACTCCTATAGATAGAGCAGGTTGTAAACAATCTTTTTGTAGAATCTGCGATTGGAGATTTGGACTGCTTTGAGGCCTACTGTAGTAAAGGAAATAACTTCATCTAAAAACCAAACGGAAGCATTCACAGACAATTCTTAGTGATCATTGCATTGAACTAACAGAGCTGAACATTCCTTTAGATGGCGCAGTTTCCAAACACACTTTCTGTAGAATCTGCAAGTGGATATTTGGACCTCTCTGAGGATTTCGTTGGAAACGGGATAAACTTCCCAGAACTACACGGAAGCATTCTGAGAAACTTCTTTGTGATGTTTGCATTCAACTCACAGGGTTGAACCTTGCTTTCATAGTTCAGCTTTCAAACACTCTTTTTGTAGAATCTGCAAGTGGATATTTGGACCACTTTGTGGCCTTCCTTCGAAACGGGTATATCTTCACATCAAACCTAGACAGAAGCATTCTCAGAATGTTTCCTGTGATGACTGCATTCAACTCACAGAGGTGAACAATCCTGCTGACGGAGCAGTTTTGAAACTCTCTTTCTTTGGATTCTGCAAGTGGATATGTGGACCTCTGTGAAGATTTCGTTGGAAACGGGTTCATCCTCACAGAAAAACTAAACAGGAGCATTCTCAGAAAACTGCTTTGTGATGTTTGTGTTCCACTTCAGGAATTGAACTTTCCTCTTGACAGAGCAGCTCTGAAACCCTCTTTTTCTAGAATCTGCAAGTGGACATTTGGAGGGCTTTGAGGCCTGTGGTGGAAAAGGAAAATCTTCACTTAAAAACTAGATGGAAGCATTCTCAGAAACAACTTTGTGATGATTGCATTCGACCCACAGATTTGAACATTCCTATAGATAGAGCAGGTTGTAAACAATCTTTTTGTAGAATCTGCGATTGGAGATTTGCACTGCTTTGAGGCCTACTGTAGTAAAGGAAATAACTTCATCTAAAAACCAAACGGAAGCATTCACAGACAATTCTTAGTGATCATTGCATTGAACTAACAGAGCTGAACATTCCTTTAGATGGCGCAGTTTCCAAACACACTTTCTGTAGAATCTGCAAGTGGATATTTGGACCTCTCTGAGGATTTCGTTGGAAACGGGATAAACTTCCCAGAACTACACGGAAGCATTCTGAGAAACTTCTTTGTGATGTTTGCATTCAACTCACAGAGTTGAACCTTGCTTTCATAGTTCAGCTTTCAAACACTCTTTTTGTAGAATCTGCAAGTGGATATTTGGACCACTTTCTGGCCTTCCTTCGAAACGGGTATATCTTCACATCAAACCTAGACAGAAGCATTCTCAGAATGTTTCCTGTGATGACTGCATTCAACTCACAGAGGTGAACAATCCTGCTGATGGAGCAGTTTTGAAACTCTCTTTCTTTGGATTCTGCAAGTGGATATGTGGACCTCTGTGAAGATTTCGTTGGAAACGGGTTCATCTTCACAGAAAAACTAAACAGGAGCATTCTCAGAAACTGCTTTGTGATGTTTGTGTTCCACTTAAAGAATTGAACTTTCCTCTTGACAGAGCAGCTCTGAAACCCTCTTTTTCTAGAATATGCAAGTGGACATTTGGAGGGCTTTGAGGCCTGTGGTGGAAAAGGAAAATCTTCACATAAAAACTAGATGGAAGCATTCTCAGAAACTACTTTGTGATGATTGCATTCGACTCACAGAGTTGAACATTCCTATAGATAGAGCAGGTTGAAAACAATCTTTTTGTAGAATCTGCGATTGGAGATTTGGACTGCTTTGAGGCCTACTGTAGTAAAGGAAATAACTTCATCTAAAAACCAAACGGAAGCATTCACAGACAATTCTTAGTGATCATTGGATTGAACTAACAGAGCTGAACATTCCTTTAGATGGAGCAGTTTCCAAACACACTTTCTGTAGAATCTGCAAGTGGATATTTGGACCTCTCTGAGGATTTCGTTGGAAACGGGATAAACTTCCCAGAACTACACGGAAGCATTGTGAGAAACTTCTTTGTGATGTTTGCATTCAACTCACAGAGTTGAACCTTGCTTTCATAGTTCAGCTTTCAAACACTCTTTTTGTAGAATCTGCAAGTGGATATTTGGACCACTTTGTGGCCTTCCTTCGAAACGGGTATATCTTCACATCAAACCTAGACAGAAGCATTCTCAGAATGTTTCCTGTGATGACTGCATTCAACTCACAGAGGTGAACAATCCTGTTGATGGAGCAGTTTTGAAACTCTCTTTCTTTGGATTCTGCAAGTGGATATGTGGACCTCTGTGAAGATTTCGTTGGAAACGGGTTCATCTTCACAGAAAAACTAAACAGAAGCATTCTCAGAAACTGCTTTGTGATGTTTGTGTTCCTCTTCAAGAAATGAACTTTCCTCTTGACAGAGCAGCTCTGAAACCCTCTTTTTCTACAATCTGCAAGTGGACATTTGGAGGGCTTTGAGGCCTGTGGTGGAAAAGGAAAATCTTCACATAAAAACTAGATGGAAGCATTCTCAGAAACTACTTTGTGATGATTGCATTCGACTCACAGAGTTGAACATTCCTATAGATAGAGCAGGTTGTAAACAATCTTTTTGTAGAATCTGCGATTGGAGATTTGGACTGCTTTGAGGCCTACTGTAGTAAAGGAAATAACTTCATCTAAAAACCAAACGGAAGCATTCACAGACAATTCTTAGTGATCATTGCATTGAACTAACAGAGCTGAACATTCCTTTACATGGAGCAGTTTCCAAACCCACTTTCTGTAGAATCTGCAAGTGGATATTTGGACTTCTCTGAGGATTTCGTTGGAAACGGGATAAACTTCTCAGAACTACACGGAAGCATTGTGAGAAACTTCTTTGTGATGTTTGCATTCAACTCACAGAGTTGAACCTTGCTTTCATAGTTCAGCTTTCAAACACTCTTTTTGTAGAATCTGCAAGTGGATATTTGGACCACTTTGTGGCCTTCCTTCGAAACGGGTATATCTTCACATCAAACCTAGACAGAAGCATTCTCAGAATGTTTCCTGGGATGACTGCATTCAACTCACAGGGGTGAACAATCCTGTTGATGGAGCACTTTTGAAACTCCCTTTCTTTGGATTCTGCAAGTTGATATGTGGACCTCTGTGAAGATTTCGTTGGAAACGGGTTCATCTTCACCGAAAAACTAAACAGGAGCATTCTCAGAAACTACTTTGTGATGTTTGTGTTCCACTTCAAGAATTGAACTTTCCTCTTGACAGAGCAGCTCTGAAACCCTCTTTTTCCAGAATCTGCAAGTGGACATTTGAAGGGCTTTGAGGCCTGTGGTGGAAAAGGAAAATCTTCACATAAAAACTAGATGGAAGCATTCTCAGAAACTACTTTGTGATGATTGCATTCGACTCACAGAGTTGAACATTCCTATAGAGAGAGCAGGTTGTAAACAATCTCTTTGTAGAATCTGCGATTAGAGATTTGGAATGCTTTGAGGCCTACTGTAGTAAAGGAAATAACTTCATCTAAAAACCAAACGGAAGCATTCACAGACAATTCTTAGTGATCATTGGATTGAACCAACAGAGCTGAACATTCCTTTAGATGGCGCAGTTTCCAAACACACTTTCTGTAGAATCTGCAACTGGATATTTGGACCTCTCTGAGGATTTCGTTGGAAACGGGATAAACTTCCCAGAACTACACGGAAGTATTCTGAGAAACTTCTTTGTGATGTTTGCATTCAACTCACAGAGTTAAACCTTGCTTTCATAGTTCAGCTTTCAAACACTCTTTTTGTAGAATCTGCAAGTGGATATTTGGACCACTTTGTGGCCTTCCTTCGAAACGGGTATATCTTCACATCAAACCTAGACAGAAGCATTCTCAGAATGTTTCCTGTGATGACTGCATTCAACTCACAGAGGTGAACAATCCTGTCGATGGAGCAGTTTTGAAACTCTCTTTCTTTGGATTCTGCAAGTGGATATGTGGACCTCTGTGAAGATTTCGTTGGAAACGGGTTCATCTTCACAGAAAAACTAAACAGAAGCATTCTCAGAAACTGCTTTGTGATGTTTGTGTTCCACTTCAAGAATTGAACTTTCCTCTTGACAGAGCAGCTCTGAAACCCTCTTATTCTAGAATCTGCAAGTGGACATTTGGAGGGCTTTGAGGCCTGTGGTGGAAAAGGAAAATCTTCACATAAAAACTAGATGGAAGCATTCTCAGAAACTACTTTGTGATGATTGCATTCGACTCACAGAGTTGAACATTCCTATAGATAGAGCAGGTTGTAAACAATCTTTTTGTAGAATCTGCGATTGGAGATTTGGACTGCTTTGAGGCCTACTGTAGTAAAGGAAATAACTTCATCTAAAAACCAAACGGAAGCATTCACAGACAATTCTTAGTGATCATTGGATTGAACTAACAGAGCTGAACATTCCCTTAGATGGCGCAGTTTCCAAACACACTTTCTGTAGAATCTGCAAGTGGATATTTGGACCACTCTGAGGATTTCGTTGGAAACGGGATAAACTTCCCAGAACTACACGGAAGCATTCTGAGAAACTTCTTTGGATGTTTACATTCAACTCACAGAGTTGAACCTTGCTTTCATAGTTCAGCTTTCAAACACTCTTTTTGTAGAATCTGCAAGTGGATATTTGGACCACTTTGTGGCCTTCCTTCGAAACGGGTATATCTTCACATCAAACCTAGACAGAAGCATTCTCAGAATGTTTCCTGTGATGACTGCATTCAACTCACAGAGGTGAACAATCCTGCTGATGGAGCAGTTTTGAAACTCTCTTTCTTTGGATTCTGCAAGTGGATATGTGGACCTCTGTGAAGATTTCGTTGGAAACGGGTTCATCTTCACAGAAAAACTAAACAGGAGCATTCTCAGAAACTGCTTTGTGATGTTTGTGTTCCACTTCAAGAATTGAACTTTCCTCTTGACAGAGCAGCAATGAAACCCTCTTTTTCTAGAATCTGCAAGTGGACATTTGGAGGTCTTTGAGGCCTGTGGTGGAAAAGGAAAATCTTCACATAAAAACTAGATGGAAGCATTCTCAGAAACTACTTTGTGATGATTGCATTCGACTCACAGAGTTGAACATTCCTATAGATAGAGCAGGTTGTAAACAGTCTTTTTGTAGAATCTGTGATTGGAGATTTGGACTGCTTTGAGGCCTACTGTAGTAAAGGAAATAACTTCATCTAAAAACCAAACGGAAGCATTCACAGACAATTCTTAGTGATCATTGGATTGAACTAACAGAGCTGAACACTCCTTTAGATGGCGCTGTTTCCAAACACACTTTCTGTAGAATCTGCAAGTGGATATTTGGACTTCTCTGAGGATTTCGTTGGAAACGGGATAAACTTCCCAGAACTACACGGAAGCATTGTGAGAAACTTCTTTGAGATGTTTGCATTCAACTCACAGAGTTGAACCTTGCTTTCATAGTTCAGCTTTCAAACACTCTTTTTGTAGAATCTGCAAGTGGATATTTGGACTACTTTGTGGCCTTCCTTCGAAACGGGTATATCTTCACATCAAACCTAGACAGAAGCATTCTCAGAATGTTTCCTGTGATGACTGCATTCAACTCACAGAGGTGAACAATCCTTCTGATGGAGCAGTTTTGAAACTCTCTTTCTTTGGATTCTGCAAGTGGATATGTGGACCTCTGTGAAGATTTCGTTGGAAACGGGTTCATCTTCACAGAAAAACTAAACAGGAGCATTCTCAGAAACTGCTTTGTGATGTTTGTGTTCCACTTCAAGAATTGAACTTTCCTCTTGACAGAGCAGCTCTGAAACCCTCTTTTTCTAGAATCTGCAAGTGGACATTTGGAGGGCTTTGAGGCCTGTGGTGGAAAAGGAAAATCTTCACATAAAAACTAGATGGAAGCATTCTCAGAAACTACTTTGTGATGATTGCATTCGACTCACAGAGTTGAACATTCCTATAGATAGAGCAGGTTGTAAACAATCTTTTTGTAGAATCTGCGATTGGAGATTTGGACTGCTTTGAGGCCTACTGTAGTAAAGGAAATAACTTCATCTAAAAACCAAACAGAAGCATTCACAGAAAATTCTTAGTGATCATTGGATTGAACTAACAGAGCTGAACATTCCTTTAGATGGAGCAGTTTCCAAACCCACTTTCTGTAGAATCTGCAAGTGGATATTTGGACTTCTCTGAGGATTTCGTTGGAAACGGGATAAACTTCCCAGAACTACAAGGAAGCATTCTGAGAAACTTCTTTGTGATGTTTGCATTCAACTCACAGAGTTGAACCTTGCTTTCATAGTTCAGCTTTCAAACACTCTTTTTGTAGAATCTGCAAGTGGATATTTGGACCACTTTGTGGCCTTCCTTCGAAACGGGTATATCTTCACATCAAACCTAGACAGAAGCATTCTCAGAATGTTTCCTGTGATGACTGCATTCAACTCACAGAGGTCAACAATCCTGCTGATGGAGCAGTTTTGAAACTCTCTTTCTTTGGATTCTGCAAGTGGATATGTGGACCTCTGTGAAGATTTCGTTGGAAACGGGTTCATCTTCACAGAAAAACTAAACAGAAGCATTCTCAGAAACTGCTTTGTGATGTTTGTGTTCCACTTCAGGAATTGAACTTTCCTCTTGACAGAGCAGCTCTGAAACCCTCTTATTCTAGAATCTGCAAGTGGACATTTGGAGGGCTTTGAGGCCTGTGGTGGAAAAGGAAAATCTTCACATAAAAACTAGATGGAAGCATTCTCAGAAACTACTTTGTGATGATTGCATTCGACTCACAGAGTTGAACATTCCTATAGATAGAGCAGGTTGTAAACAATGTTTTTGTAGAATCTGCGATTGGAGATTTGGACTGCTTTGAGGCCTACTGTAGTAAAGGAAATAACTTCATCTAAAAACCAAACGGAAGCATTCACAGACAATTCTTAGTGATCATTGCATTGATCTAACAGAGCTGAACATTCCTTTAGATGGCGTAGTTTCCAAACACACTTTCTGTAAAATCTGCAAGTGGATATTTGGACCTCTCTGAGGATTTCGTTGGAAGCGGGATAAAATTCCCAGAACTACACGGAAGTATTCTGAGAAACTTCTTTGTCATGTTTGCATTCAACTCACAGAGTTGAACCTTGCTTTCATAGTTCAGCTTTCAAACACTCTTTTTGTAGAATCTGCAAGTGGATATTTGGACCACTTTGGGGCCTTCCTTCGAAACGGGTATATCTTCACATCAAACCTTGACAGAAGCATTCTCAGAATGTTTCCTGTGATGACTGCATTCAACTCACAGAGGTGAACAATCCTGCTGATGGAGCAGTTTTGAAACTCTCTTTCTTTGGATTCTGCAAGTGGATATGTGGACCTCTGTGAAGATTTCGTTGGAAACGGGTTCATCTTCACAGAAAAACTAAACAGAAGCATTCTCAGAAACTGCTTTGTGATGTTTGTGTTCCACTTCAGGAATTGAACTTTCCTCTTGACACAGCAGCTCTGAAACCCTCTTATTCTAGAATCTGCAAGTGGACATTTGAAGGGCTTTGAGGCCTGTGGTGGCAAAGGAAAATCTTCACATAAAAAGTAGATGGAAGCATTCTCAGAAACTACTTTGTGATGATTGCATTCGACTCACAGAGTTGAACATTCCTATAGATAGAGCAGGTTGTAAACAATCTTTTTGTAGAATCTGCGATTGGAGATTTGGACTGCTTTGAGGCCTACTGTAGTAAAGGAAATAACTTCATCTAAAAACCAAACGGAAGCATTCACAGACAATTCTTAGTGATCATTGGATTGAACTAACAGAGCTGAACATTCCTTTAGATGGAGCAGTTTCCAAACACACTTTCTGTAGAATCTGCAAGTGGATATTTGGACTTCTCTGAGGATGTCGTTGGAAACGGGATATACTTCCCAGAACTACACGGAAGCATTCTGAGAAACTTCCTTGTCATGTTTGCATTCAACTCACAGAGTTGAACCTTGCTTTCATAGTTCAGCTTTCAAACACTCTTTTTGTAGAATCTGCAAGTGGATATTTGGACCACTTTGTGGCCTTCCTTCGAAACGGGTATATCTTCACATCAAACCTAGACAGAAGCATTCTCAGAATGTTTTCCTGTGATGACTGCATTCAACTCACAGAGGTGAACAATCCTGCTGATGGAGCAGTTTTGAAACTCTCTTTCTTTGGATTCTGCAAGTGGATATGTGGACCTCTGTGAAGATTTCGTTGGAAACGGGTTCATCTTCACAGAAAAACTAAACAGGAAGCATTCTCAGAAACTGCTTTGTGATGTTTGTGTTCCACTTCAAGAATTGAACTTTCCTCTTGACAGAGCAGCTCTGAAACCCTCTTTTTCCAGAATCTGCAAGTGGACATTTGGAGGGCTTTGAGGCCTGTGGTGGAAAAGGAAAATCTTCACATACAAACTAGATGGAAGCATTCTCAGAAACTACTTTGTGATGATTGCATTCGACTCACAGAGTTGAACATTCCTATAGATAGAGCAGGTTGTAAACAATCTTTTTGTAGAATCGGCGATTGGAGATTTGGACTGCTTTGAGGCCTACTGTAGTAAAGGAAATAACTTCATCTAAAAACCAAACGGAAGCATTCACAGACAATTCTTAGTGATCATTGGATTGAACTAACAGAGCTGAACATTCCTTTAGATGGAGCAGATTCCAAACACACTTTCTGTAGAATCTGCAATTGGATATTTGGACCTCTCTGAGGATTTCGTTGGAAACGGACTAAACTTCCCAGAACTACACGGAAGCATTGTGAGAAACTTCTTTGTGATGTTTGCATTCAACTCACAGAGTTGAACCTTGCTTTCATAGTTCAGCTTTCAAACACTCTTTTTGTAGAATCTGCAAGTGGATATTTGGACCACTTTGTGGCCTTCCTTCGAAACGGGTATATCTTCACATCAAACCTAGACAGAAGCATTCTCAGAATGTTTCCTCTGATGACTGCATTCAACTCACAGAGGTGAACAATCCTGCTGATGGAGCAGTTTTGAAACTCTCTTTCTTTGGATTCTGCAAGTGGATATGTGGACCTCTGTGAAGATTTCGTTGGAAACGGGTTCATCTTCACAGAAAAACTAAACAGAAGCATTCTCAGAAACTGCTTTGTGATGTTTGTGTTCCACTTCAAGAATTGAACTTTCCTCTTGACAGAGCAGCTCTGAAACCCTCTTTTTCTAGAGTCTGCAAGTGGACATTTGGAGGGCTTTGAGGCCTGTGGTGGAAAAGGAAAATCTTCACATAAAAACTAGATGGAAGCATTCTCAGAAACTACTTTGTGATGATTGCATTCGACTCACAGAGTTGAACATTCCTATAGATAGAGCAGGTTGTAAACAATCTTTTTGTAGAATCTGCGATTGGAGATTTGGACTGCTTTGAGGCCTACTGTAGTAAAGGAAATAACTTCATCTAAAAACCAAACGGAAGCATTCACAGACAATTCTTAGTGATCATTGGATTGAACTAACAGAGCTGAACATTCCTTTAGATGGAGCAGTTTCCAAACCCACTTTCTGTAGAATCTGCAAGTGGATATTTGGACTTCTCTGAGGATTTTGTTGGAAACGGGATAAACTTCCCAGAACTACAGGGAAGCATTGTGAGAAACTTCTTTGTGATGTTTGCATTCAACTCACAGAGTTGAACCTTGCTTTCATAGTTCAGCTTTCAAACACTCTTTTTGTAGAATCTGCAAGTGGATATTTGGACCACTTTGTGGCCTTCCTTTGAAACGGGTATATCTTCACATCAAACCTAGACAGAAGCATTCTCAGAATGTTTCCTGTGATGACTGCATTCAACTCACAGAGGTGAACAATCCTGCTGATGGAGCAGTTTTGAAACTCTCTTTCTTTGGATTCTGCAGGTGGATATGTGGACCTCTGTGAAGATTTCGTTGGAAACAGGTTCATCTTCACAGAAAAACTAAACAGAAGCATTCTCAGAAACTGCTTTGTGATGTTTGTGTTCCACTTCAAGAATTGAACTTTCCTCTTGACAGAGCAGCTCTGAAACCCTCTTTTTCTAGAATCTGCAAGTGGACATTTGGAGGGCTTTGAGGCCTGTGGTGGAAAAGGAAAATCTTCACATAAAAACTAGATGGAAGCATTCTCAGAAACTACTTTGTGATGATTGCATTCGACTCACAGAGTTGAACATTCCTATAGATAGAGCAGGTTGTAAACAATCTTTTTGTAGAATCTGCGATTGGAGATTTGGACTGCTTTGAGGCCTACTGTAGTAAAGGAAATAACTTCATCTAAAAACCAAACGGAAGCATTCACAGACAATTCTTAGTGATCATTGGATTGAACTAACAGAGCTGAACATTCCTTTAGATGGAGCAGATTCCAAACACACTTTCTGTAGAATCTGCAAGTGGATATTTGGACCTCTCTGAGGATTTCGTTGGAAACGGGATAAAATTCCCAGAACTACACGGAAGCATTCTGAGAAACTTCTTTGTGATGTTTGCATTCAACTCACAGAGTTGAACCTTGCTTTCATAGTTCAGCTTTCAAACACTCTTTTTGTAGAATCTGCAAGTGGATATTTGGACCACTTTGTGGCCTTCCTTCGAAACGGGTATATCTTCACATCAAACCTAGACAGAAGCATTCTCAGAATGTTTCCTGTGATGACTGCATTCAACTCACAGAGGTGAACAATCCTGCTGATGGAGCAGTTTTGAAACTCTCTTTCTTTGGATTCTGCAAGTGGATATGTGGACCTCTGTGTAGATTTCGTTGGAACCGGGTTCATCTTCACAGAAAAACTAAACAGGAGCATTCTCAGAAACTGCTTTGTGATGTTTGTGTTCCACTTCAAGAGTTGAACTTTCCTCTTGACAGAGCAGCTCTGAAACCCTCTTTTTCTAGAATCTGCAAGTGGACATTTGGAGGGCTTTGAGGCCTGTGGTGGAAAAGGAAAATCTTCACATAAAAACTAGATGGAAGCATTCTCAGAAACTACTTTGTGATGATTGCATTCGACTCACAGAGTTGAACATTCCTATAGATAGAGCAGGTTGTAAACAATCTTTTTGTAGAATCTGCGATTGGAGATTTGGACTGCTTTGAGGCCTACTGTAGTAAAGGAAATAACTTCATCTAAAAACCAAACGGAAGCATTCACAGACAATTCTTAGTGATCATTGCATTGAACTAACAGAGCTGAACATTCCTTTAGATGGCGCAGTTTCCAAACACACTTTCTGTAGAATCTGCAAGTGGATATTTGGACTTCTCTGAGGATTTCGTTGGAAACGGGATAAACTTCCCAGAACTACACGGAAGCATTCTGAGAAACTTCTTTCTGATGTTTGCATTCAACTCACAGAGTTGAAACTTGCTTTCATAGTACAGCTTTCAAACACTCTTTTTGTAGAATCTGCAAGTGGATATTTGGACCACTTTGTGGCCTTCCTTCGAAACGGGTATATCTTCACATCAAACCTAGACAGAAGCATTCTCAGAATGTTTCCTGTGATGACTGCATTCAACTCACAGAGGTGAACAATCCTGCTGATGGAGCAGTTTTGAAACTCTCTTTCTTTGGATTCTGCAAGTGGATATGTGGACCTCTGTGAAGATTTCGTTGGAAACAGGTTCATCTTCACAGAAAAACTAAACAGGAGCATTCTCAGAAACTGCTTTGTGATGTTTGTGTTCCACTTCAGGAATTGAACTTTCCTCTTGACAGAGCTGCTCTGAAACCCTCTTTTTCTAGAATCTGCATGTGGACATTTGGAGGGCTTTGAGGCCTGTGGTGGAAAAGGAAAATCTTCACATAAAAACTAGATGGAAGCATTCTCAGAAACTACTTTGTGATGATTGCATTTGACTCACAGAGTTGAACATTCCTATAGATAGAGCAGGTTGTAAACAATCTTTTTCTAGAATCTGCGATTGGAGATTTGGACTGCTTTGAGGCCTACTGTAGTAAAGGAAATAACTTCATCTAAAAACCAAACGGAAGCATTCACAGACAATTCTTAGTGATCATTGGATTGAACTAACAGAGCTGAACATTCCTTTAGATGGAGCAGTTTCCAAACACACTTTCTGTAGAATCTGCAAGTGGATATTTGGACCTCTCTGAGGATTTCGTTGGAAACGGGATAAACTTCCCAGAACTACACGGAAGTATTCTGAGAAACTTCTTTGTGATGTTTGCATTCAACTCACAGAGTTGAACCTTGCTTTCATAGTTCAGCTTTCAAACACTCTTTTTGTTGAATCTGCAAGTGGATATTTGGACCACTTTGTGGCCTTCCTTAGAAACGGGTATATCTTCACATCAAACCTAGACAGAAGCATTCTCAGAATGTTTCCTGTGATGACTGCATTCAACTCACAGAGGTGAACAATCCTGCTGATGGAGCAGTTTTGAAACTCTCTTTCTTTGGATTCTGCAAGTGGATATGTGGACCTCTGTGAAGATTTCGTTGGAAACGGGTTCATCTTCACAGAAAAACTAAACAGAAGCATTCTCAGAAACTGCTTTGTGATGTTTGTGTTCCACTTAAAGAATTGAACTTTCCTCTTGACAGAGCAGCTCTGAAACCCTCTTTTTCTAGAATCTGCAAGTGGACATTTGGAGGGCTTTGAGGCCTGTGGTGGAAAAGGAAAATCTTCACATAAAAACTTTATGGAAGCATTCTCAGAAACTACTTTGTGATGATTGCATTCGACTCACAGAGTTGAACATTCCTATAGATAGAGCAGGTTGTAAACAATCTTTTTGTAGAATCTGCGATTGGAGATTTGGACTGCTTTGAGGCCTACTGTAGTAAAGGAAATAACTTCATCTAAAAACCAAACGGAAGCATTCACAGACAATTCTTAGTGATCATTGGATTGAACTAACAGAGCTGAACATTCCTTTAGATGGCGCAGTTTCCAAACACACTTTCTGTAGAATCTGCAAGTGGATATTTGGACCTCTCTGAGGATTTCGTTGGAAACGGGATAAACTTCCCAGAACTACACGGAAGCATTCTGAGAAACTTCTTTGTGATGTTTGCATTCAACTCACAGAGTTGAACCTTGCTTTCATAGTTCAGCTTTCAAACACTCTTTTTGTAGAATCTGCAAGTGGATATTTGGACCACTTTGTGGCCTTCCTTCGAAACGGGTATATCTTCACATCAAACCTAGACAGAGGCATTCTCAGAATGTTTCCTGTGATGACTGCATTCAACTCACAGAGGTGAACAATCCTGTTGATGGAGCAGTTTTGAAACTCTCTTTCTTTGGATTCTGCAAGTTGATATGTGGACCTCTGTGAAGATTTCGTTGGAAACGGGTTCATCTTCACAGAAAAACTAAACAGAAGTATTCTCAGAAACTGCTTTGTGATGTTTGTGTTCCACTTCAAGAATTGAACTTTCCTCTTGACAGAGCAGCTCTGAAACCCTCTTTTTCTAGAATCTGCAAGTGGACATTTGGAGGGCTTTGAAGCCTGTGGTGGAAAAGGAAAATCTTCACATAAAAACTAGATGGAAGCATTCTCAGAAACTACTTTGTGATGATTGCATTCGACTCACAGAGTTGAACATTCGTATAGATAGAGTACGTTGTAAACAATCTTTTTGTAGAATCTGCGATTGGAGATTTGGACTGCTTTGAGGCCTACTGTAGTAAAGGAAATAACTTCATCTAAAAACCAAACGGAAGCATTCACAGACAATTCTTAGTGATCATTGGATTGAACAAACAGAGCTGAACATTCCTTTAGATGGCGCAGTTTCCAAACACACTTTCGGTAGAATCTGCAAGTGGATATTTGGACCTCTACTGAGGATTTCGTTGGAAACGGGATAAACTTCCCAGAACTACACGGAAGTATTCTGAGAAACTTCTTTGGGATGTTTGCATTCAACTCACAGAGTTGAACCTTGCTTTCATAGTTCAGCTTTCAAACACTCTTTTTGTAGAATCTGCAAGTGGATATTTGGAACACTTTGTGGCCTTCCTTCGAAACGGGTATATCTTCACATCAAACCTAGACAGAAGCATTCTCAGAATGTTTCCTGTGATGACTGCATTCAACTCACAGAGGTGAACAATCCTGCTGATGGAGCAGTTTTGAAACTCTCTTTCTTTGGATTCTGCAAGTGGATATGTGGACCTCTGTGAAGATTTCGTTGGAAACGGGTTCATCTTCACAGAAAAACTAAACAGGAGCATTCTCAGAAACTGCTTTGTGATGTTTGTGTTCCACTTCAGGAATTGAACTTTCCTCTTGACAGAGCAGCTCTGAAACCCTCTTTTTCTACAATCTGCAAGTGGACATTTGGAGGGCTTTGAGGCCTGTGGTGGAAAAGGAAAATCTTCACATAAAAACTAGATGGAAGCATTCTCAGAAACTACTTTGTGATGATTGCATTCGACTCACAGAGTTGAACATTCCTATAGATAGAGCAGGTTGTAAACAATCTTTTTGTAGAATCTGCGATTGGAGATTTGGACTGCTTTGAGGCCTACTGTAGTAAAGGAAATAACTTCATCTAAAAACCAAACGGAAGCATTCACAGACAATTCTTAGTGATCATTGCATTGAACTAACAGAGCTGAACATTGCTTTAGATGGCGCAGTTTCCAAACACACTTTCTGTAGAATCTGCAAGTGGATATTTGGACCTCTCTGAGGATTTCGTTGGAAACGGGATAAACTTCCCAGAACTACACGGAAGCATTGTGAGAAACTTCTTTGTGATGTTTGCATTCAACTCACAGAGTTGAACCTTGCTTTCATAGTTCAGCTTTCAAACACTCTTTTTGTAGAATCTGCAAGTGGATATTTGGACCACTTTGTGGCCTTCCTTCGAAACGGGTATATCTTCACATCAAACCTGGACAGAAGCATTCTCAGAATGTTTCCTGTGATGACTGCATTCAACTCACAGAGGTGAACAATCCTGTTGATGGAGCACTTTTGAAACTCTCTTTCTTTGGATTCTGCAAGTTGATATGTGGACCTCTGTGAAGATTTCGTTGGAAACGGGTTCATCTTCACAGAAAAACTAAACAGAAGCATTCTCAGAAACTGCTTTGTGATGTTTGTGTTCCACTTCAGGAATTGAACTTTCCTCTTGACAGAGCAGCTCTAAAACCCTCTTATTCTAGAATCTGCAAGTGGACATTTGGAGGGCTTTGAGGCCTGTGGTGGAAAAGGAAAATCTTCACATAAAAACTAGATGGAAGCATTCTCAGAAACTTCTTTGTGATGATTGCATTCGACTCACAGAGTTGAACACTCCTATAGATAGAGCAGGTTGTAAACAATCTTTTTGTAGAATCTGCGATTGGAGTTTTGGACTGCTTTGAGGCCTACTGTAGTAAAGGAAATAACTTCATCTAAAAACCAAACGGAAGCATTCACAGACAATTCTTAGTGATCATTGCATTGAACTAACAGAGCTGAACATTCCTTTAGATGGAGCAGTTTCCAAACCCACTTTCTGTAGAATCTGCAAGTGGATATTTGGACTTCTGTGAGGATTTCGTTGGAAACGGGATAAACTTCCCAGAACTACACGGAAGCATTCTGAGAAACTTCTTTGTGATGTTTGCATTCAACTCACAGAGTTGAACCCTGCTTTCATAGTTCAGCTTTCAAACACTCTTTTTGTAGAATCTGCAAGTGGATATTTGGACCACTTTTTGGCCTTCCTTCGAAACGGGTATATCTTCACATCAAACCTAGACAGAAGCATTCTCAGAATGTTTCCTGTGATGACTGCATTCAACTCACAGAGGTGAACAATCCTGCTGATGGAGCAGTTTTGAAACTCTCTTTCTTTGGATTCTGCAAGTGGATATGTGGAACTCTGTTAAGATTTCGTTGGAAACGGGTTCATCTTCACAGAAAAACTAAACAGAAGCATTCTCAGAAACTGCTTTGTGATGTTTGTGTTCCACTTCAAGAATTGAACTTTCCTCTTGACAGAGCAGCTCTGAAACCCTCTTTTTCTAGAATCTGCAAGTGGACATTTGGAGGGCTTTGAGGCCTGTGGTGGAAAAGGAAAATCTTCACATAAAAACTAGATGGAAGCATTCTCAGAAACTACTTTGTGATGATTGCATTCGACTCACAGAGTTGAACATTCTTATAGATAGAGCAGGTTGTAAACAATCTTTTTGTAGAATCTGCGATTGGAGATTTGGACTGCTTTGAGGCCTACTGTAGTAAAGGAAATAACTTCATCTAAAAACCAAACGGAAGCATTCACAGACAATTCTTAGTGATCATTGGATTGAACTAACAGAGCTGAACATTCCTTTAGATGGAGCAGTTTCCAAACCCACTTTCTGTAGAATCTGCAAGTGGATATTTGGACTTCTCTGAGGATTTCGTTGGAAACGGGATAAACTTCCCAGAACTACACGGAAGCATTGTGAGAAACTTCTTTGTGATGTTTGCATTCAACTCACAGAGTTGAACCTTGCTTTCATAGTTCAGCTTTCAAACACTCTTTTTGTGGAATCTGCAAGTGGATATTTGGACCACTTTGTGGCCTTCCTTCGAAAAGGGTATATCTTCACATCAAACCTAGACAGAAGCATTCTCAGAATGTTTCCTGTGATGACTGCATTCAACTCACAGAGGTGAACAATCCTGCTGATGGAGCAGTTTTGAAACTCTCTTTCTTTGGATTCTGCAAGTGGATATGTGGACCTCTGTGAAGATTTCGTTGGAAACGGGTTCATCTTCACAGAAAAACTAAACAGAATCATTCTCAGAAACTACTTTGTGATGTTTGTGTTCCACTTCAAGAATTGAACTTTCCTCTTGACAGAGCAGCTCTGAAACCCTCTTTTTCTAGAATCTGCAAGTGGACATTTGGAGGGCTTTGAGGCCTGTGGTGGAAAAGGAAAATCTTCACATAAAAACTAGATGGAAGCATTCTCAGAAACTACTTTGTGATGATTGCATTCGACTCACAGAGTTGAACATTCCTATAGATAGAGCAGGTTGTAAACAATCTTTTTGTAGAATCTGCGATTGGAGATTTGGACTGCTTTGAGGCCTACTGTAGTAAAGGAAATAACTTCATCTAAAAACCAAACGGAAGCATTCACAGACAATTCTTAGTGATCATTGGATTGATCTAACAGAGCTGAACATTCCTTTAGATGGCGTAGTTTCCAAACACACTTTCTGTAGAATCTGCAAGTGGATATTTGGACCTCTCTGAGGATTTCGTTGGAAACGGGATAAACTTCCCAGAACTACACGGAAGCATTCTGAGAAACTTCTTTGTGATGTTTGCATTCAACTCACAGAGTTGAACCTTGCTTTCATAGTTCAGCTTTCAAACACTCTTTTTGTAGAATCTGCAAGTGGATATTTGGACCACTTTCTGGCCTTCCTTCGAAACGGGTATATCTTCACATCAAACCTAGACAGAAGCATTCTGAGAATGTTTCCTGTGATGACTGCATTCAACTCACAGAGGTGAACAATCCTGCTGATGGAGCAGTTTTGAAACTCTCTTTCTTTGGATTCTGCAAGTGGATATGTGGACCTCTGTGAAGATTTCGTTGGAAACGGGTTCATCTTCACAGAAAAACTAAACAGAAGCATTCTCAGAAACTGCTTTGTGATGTTTGTGTTCCACTTCAAGAATTGAACTTTCCTCTTGACAGAGCAGCTCTGAAACCCTCTTTTTCTAGAATCTGCAAGTGGACATTTGGAGGGCTTTGAGGCCTGTGGTGGAAAAGGAAAATCTTCACATAAAAACTAGATGGAAGCATTCTCAGAAACTACTTTGTGATGTTTGCATTCGACTCACAGAGTTGAACATTCCTATAGATAGAGCAGGTTGAAAACAATCTTTTTGTAGAATCTGCGATTGGAGATTTGGACTGCTTTGAGGCCTACTGTAGTAAAGGAAATAACTTCATCTAAAAACCAAACGGAAGCATTCACAGACAATTCTTAGTGATCATTGCATTGAACTAACAGAGCTGAACATTCCTTTAGATGGCGCAGTTTCCAAACACACTTTCTGTAGAATCTGCAAGTGGATATTTGGACCTCTCTGAGGATTTCGTTGGAAACGGGATAAACTTCCCAGAACTACACGGAAGCATTGTGAGAAACTTCTTTGTGATGTTTGCATTCAACTCACAGAGTTGAACCTTGCTTTCATAGTTCAGCTTTCAAACACTCTTTTTGTAGAATCTGCAAGTGGATATTTGGACCACTTTGTGGCCTTCCTTCGAAACGGGTATATCTTCACATCAAACCTAGACAGAAGCATTCTCAGAATGTTTCCTGTGATGACTGCATTCAACTCACAGAGGTGAACAATCCTGTTGATGGAGCAGTTTTCAAACTCTCTTTCTTTGGATTCTGCAAGTGGATATGTGGACCTCTGTGAAGATTTTGTTGGAAACGGGTTCATCTTCACAGAAAAACTAAACAGGAGCATTCTCAGAAACTGCATTATCATGTTTGTGTTCCACTTCAAGAGTTGAACTTTCCTCTTGACAGAGCAGCTCTGAAACCCTCTTTTTCTAGAATCTGCAAGTGGACATTTGGAGGGCTTTGAGGCCTGTGGTGGAAAAGGAAAATCTTCACATAAAAACTAGATGGAAGCATTCTCAGAAACTACTTTGTGATGATTGCATTCGACTCACAGAGTTGAACATTCCTATACATAGAGCAGGTTGTAAACAATCTTTTTGTAGAATCTGCGATTGGAGATTTGGACTGCTTTGAGGCCTACTGTAGTAAAGGAAATAACTTCATCTAAAAACCAAACGGAAGCATTCACAGACAATTCTTAGTGATCATTGGATTGAACTAACAGAGCTGAACATTCCTTTAGATGGAGCAGTTTCCAAACACACTTTCTGTAGAATCTGCAAGTGGATATTTGGACCTCTCTGAGGATTTCGTTGGAAACGTGATAAACTTCCCAGAACTACACGGAGCATTCTGAGAAACTTCTTTGTGATGTTTGCATTCAACTCACAGAGTTGAACCTTGCTTTCTTAGTTCAGCTTTCAAACACTCTTTTTGTAGAATCTGCAAGTGGATATTTGGACCACTTTGTGGCCTTCCTTCGAAACGGGTATATCTTCACATCAAACCTAGACAGAAGCATTCTCAGAATGTTTCCTGTGATGACTGCATTCAACTCACAGAGGTGAACAATCCTGTTGATGGAGCAGTTTTGAAACTCTCTTTGCTTTGGATTCTGCAAGTGGATATGTGGACCTCTGTGAAGATTTCGTTGGAAACGGTTTCACCTTCACAGAAAAACTAAACAGGAGCATTCTCAGAAACTGCTTTGTGATGTTTGTGTTCCACTTCAGGAATTGAACTTTCCTCTTGACAGAGCAGCTCTGAAACCCTCTTATTCTAGAATCTGCAAGTGGACATTTGGAGGGCTTTGAGGCCTGTGGTGGAAAAGGAAAATCTTCACATAAAAACTAGATGGAAGCATTCTCAGAAACTACTTTGTGATGATTGCATTCGACTCACAGAGTTGAACATTCCTATAGATAGAGCAGGTTGTAAACAATCTTTTTGTAGAATCTGCGATTGGAGATTTGGACTGCTTTGAGGCCTACTGTAGTAAAGGAAATAACTTCATCTAAAAACCAAACGGAAGCATTCACAGACAATTCTTAGTGATCATTGCATTGAACTAACAGAGCTGAACATTCCTTTAGATGGCGCAGTTTCCAAACACACTTTCTGTAGAATCTGCAAGGGGATATTTGGACCTCTCTGAGGATTTCGTTGGAAACGGGATAAACTTCCCAGAACTACACGGAAGCATTCTGAGAAACTTCTTTGTGATGTTTGCATTCAACTCACAGAGTTGAACCTTGCTTTCATAGTTCAGCTTTCAAACACTCTTTTTGTAGAATCTGCAAGTGGATATTTGGACCACTTTGTGGCCTTCCTTCGAAACGGGTATATCTTCACATCAAACCTAGACAGAAGCATTCTCAGAATGTTTCCTGTGATGACTGCATTCAACTCACAGAGGTGAACAATCCTGCTGATGGAGCAGTGTTGAAACTCTCTTTCTTTGGATTCTGCAAGTGGATATGTGGACCTCTGTGAAGATTTCGTTGGAAACGGGTTCATCTTCACAGAAAAACTAAACAGGAGCATTCTCAGAAACTACTTTGTGATGTTTGTGTTCCACTTCAAGAATTGAACTTTCCTCTTGACAGAGCAGCTCTGAAACCCTCTTTTTCTAGAATCTGCAAGTGGACATTTGGAGGGCTTTGAGGCCTGTGGTGGAAAAGGAAAATCTTCACATAAAAACTAGATGGAAGCATTCTCAGAAACTACTTTGTGATGATTGCATTCGACTCACAGAGTTGAACATTCCTATAGATAGAGCAGGTTGTAAACAATCTTTTTGTAGAATCTGCGATTGGAGATTTGGACTGCTTTGAGGCCTACTGTAGTAAAGGAAATAACTTCATTCTAAAAACCAAACGGAAGCATTCACAGACAATTCTTAGTGATCATTGCATTGAACTAACAGAGCTGAACATTGCTTTAGATGGCGCAGTTTCCAAACACACTTTCTGTAGAATCTGCAAGTGGATATTTGGACCTCTCTGAGGATTTCGTTGGAAACGGGATAAACTTCCCAGAACTACACGGAAGCATTGTGAGAAACTTCTTTGTGATGTTTGCATTCAACTCACAGAGTTGAACCTTGCTTTCATAGTTCAGCTTTCAAACACTCTTTTTGTAGAATCTGCAAGTGGATATTTGGACCACTTTGTGGCCTTCCTTCGAAACGGGTATATCTTCACATCAAACCTAGACAGAAGCATTCTCAGAATGTTTCCTGTGATGACTGCATTCAACTCACAGAGGTGAACAATCCTGCTGATGGAGCAGTTTTGAAACTCTCTTTCTTTGGATTCTGCAAGTGGATATGTGGACCTCTGTGAAGATTTCGTTGGAAACGGGTTCATCTTCACCGAAAAACTAAACAGGAGCATACTCAGAAACTGCTTTGTGATGTTTGTGTTCCACTTCAAGAATTGAACTTTCCTCTTGACAGAGCAGCTCTGAAACCCTCTTTTTCTAGAATCTGCAAGTGGACATTTCGAGGGCTTTGAGGCCTGTGGTGGAAAAGGAAAATCTTCACATAAAAACTAGATGGAAGGATTCTCAGAAACTACTCTGTGATGATTGCATTCGACTCACAGAGTTGAACATTCGTATAGATAGAGCAGGTTGTAAACAATCTTTTTGTAGAATCTGCGATTGGAGATTTGGACTGCTTTGAGGCCTACTGTAGAAAAGGAAATAACTTCATCTAAAAACCAAACGGAAGCATTCACAGACAATTCTTAGTGATCATTGCATTGAACTAACAGAGCTGAACATTCCTTTAGATGGAGCAGTTTCCAAACACACTTTCTGTAGAATCTGCAAGTGGATATTTGGACTTCTCTGAGGATTTCGTTGGAAACGGGATAAACTTCCCAGAACTACACGGAAGCATTCTGAGAAACTTCTTTGTGATGTTTGCATTCAACTCACAGAGTTGAACCTTGCTTTCATAGTTCAGCTTTCAAACACTCTTTTTGTAGAATCTGCATGTGGATACTTGGACCACTTCGTGGCCTTCCTTCGAAACGGGTATATCTTCACATCAAACCTAGACAGAAGCATTCTCAGAATGTTTCCTGTGATGACTGCATTCAACTCACAGAGGTAAACAATCCTGCTGATGGAGCAGTTTTGAAACTCTCTTTCTTTGGATTCTGCAAGTGGATATGTGGACCTCTGTGAAGATTTCGTTGGAAACGGGTTCATCTTCACAGAAAAAATAACCAGGAGCATTCTCAGAAACTGCTTTGTGATGTTTGTGTTCCACTTCAAGAATTGAACTTTCCTCTTGACAGAGCAGCTCTGAAACCCTCTTTTTCTAGAATCTGCAAGTGGACATTTGGAGGGCTTTGAGGCCTGTGGTGGAAAAGGAAACTCTTCACATAAAAACTAGATGGAAGCATTCTCAGAAACTCCTTTGTGATGATTGCATTCGACTCACAGAGTTGAACATTCCTATAGATAGAGCAGGTTGTAAACAATCTTTTTGTAGAATCTGCGATTGGAGATTTGGACTGCTTTGAGGCCTACTGTAGTAAAGGAAATAACTTCATCTAAAAAACAAACGGAAGCATTCACAGACAATTCTTAGTGATCATTGGATTGAACTAACAGAGCTGAACATTCCTTTAGATGGAGCAGTTTCCAAACCCACTTTCTGTAGAATCTGCAAGTGGATATTTGGACTTCTCTGAGGATTTCGTTGGAAACGGGATAAACTTCCCAGAACTACACGGAAGCATTGTGAGAAACTTCTTTGTGATGTTTGCATTCAACTCACAGAGTTGAACCTTGCTTTCATAGTTCAGCTTTCAAACACTCCTTTTGTAGAATCTGCAAGTGGATATTTGGGCCACTTTGTGGCCTTCCTTCGAAACGGGTATATCTTCACATCAAACCTAGACAGAAGCATTCTCAGAATGTTTCCTGTGATGACTGCATTCAACTCACAGAGGTGAACAATCCTGCTGATGGAGCAGTTTTGAAACTCTCTTTCTTTGGATTCTGCAAGTGGATATGTGGACCTCTGTGAAGATTTCGTTGGAAACGGGTTCATCTTCACAGAAAAACTAAACAGAAGCATTCTCAGAAACTACTTTGTGATGTTTGTGTTCCACTTCAAGAATTGAACTTTCCTCTTGACAGAGCAGCTTTGAAACCCTCTTTTTCTAGAATCTGCAAGTGGACATTTGGAGGGCTTTGAGGCCTGTGGTGGAAAAGGAAAATCTTCACATAAAAACTAGATGGAAGCATTCTCAGAAACTACTTTGTGATGATTGCATTCGACTCACAGAGTTGAACATTCGTATAGATAGATCAGGTTGTAAACAATGTTTTTGTAGAATCTGCGATTGGAGATTTGGACTGCTTTGAGGCCTACTGTAGTAAAGGAAATAACTTCATCTAAAAACCAAACGGAAGCATTCACAGACAATTCTTAGTGATCATTGGATTGAACTAACAGAGCTGAACATTCATTTAGATGGAGCAGTTTCCAAACACACTTTCTGTAGAATCTGCAAGTGGATATTTGGACCTCTCTGAGGATTTCGTTGGAAACGGGATAAACTTCCCAGAACTACACGGAAGCATTGTGAGAAACTTCTTTGTGATGTTTGCATTCAACTCACAGAGTTGAACCTTGCTTTCATAGTTCAGCTTTCAAACACTCTTTTTGTAGAATCTGCAAGTGGATATTTGGACCACTTTGTGGCCTTCCTTTGAAAAGGGTATATCTTCACATCAAACCTAGACAGAAGCATTCTCAGAATGTTTCCTGTGATGACTGCATTCAACTCACAGAGGTGAACAATCCTGCTGTTGGAGCAGTTTTGAAACTCTCTTTCTTTGGATTCTGCAAGTGGATATGTGGACCTCTGTGAAGATTTCATTGGAAACGGGTTCATCTTCACAGAAAAACTAAACAGGAGCATTCTCAGAAACTGCTTTGTGATGTTTGTGTTCCACTTCAGGAATTGAACTTTCCTCTTGACAGAGCAGCTCTAAAACCCTCTTATTCTAGAATCTGCAAGTGGACATTTGGAGGGCTTTGAGGCCTGTGGTGGAAAAGGAAAATCTTCACATAAAAACTAGATGGAAGCATTCTCAGAAACTACTTTGTGATGATTGCATTCGACTCACAGAGTTGAACATTCCTATAGATAGAGCAGGTTGTAAACAATCTTTTTGTAGAATCTGCGATTGGAGATTTGGACTGCTTTGAGGCCTACTGTAGTAAAGGAAATAACTTCATCTAAAAACCAAACGGAAGCATTCACAGACAATTCTTAGTGATCATTGGATTGAACTAACAGAGCTGAACATTCCTTTAGATGGAGCAGTTTCCAAACCCACTTTCTGTAGAATCTGCAAGTGGATATTTAGACTTCTCTGAGGATTTCGTTGGAAACGGGATAAACTTCCCAGAACTACACGGAAGCATTCTGAGAAACTTCTTTGTGATGTTTGCATTCAACTCACAGAGTTGAACCTTGCTTTCATAGTTCAGCTTTCAAACACTCTTTTTGTAGAATCTGCAAGTGGATATTTGGACCACTTTCTGGCCTTCCTTCGAAACGGGTATATCTTCACATCAAACCTAGACAGAAGCATTCTCAGAATGTTTCCTGTGATGACTGCATTCAACTCACAGAGGTGAACAATCCTGCTGATGGAGCAGTTTTGAAACTCTCTTTCTTTGGATTCTGCAAGTGGATATGTGGACCTCTGTGAAGATTTCGTTGGAAACGGGTTCATCTTCACAGAAAAACTAAACAGAAGCATTCTCAGAAACTGCTTTGTTATGTTTGTGTTCCACTTCAGGAATTGAACTTTCCTCTTGACAGAGCAGCTCTGAAACCCTCTTATTCTAGAATCTGCAAGTGGACATTTGGAGGGCTTTGAGGCCTGTGGTGGAAAAGGAAAATCTTCACATAAAAACTAGATGGAAGCATTCTCAGAAACTACTTTGTGATGATTGCATTCGACTCACAGAGTTGAACATTCCTATAGATAGAGCAGGTTGTAAACAATCTTTTTGTAGAATCTGCGATTGGAGATTTGGACTGCTTTGAGGCCTACTGTAGTAAAGGAAATAACTTCATCTAAAAACCAAACGGAAGCATTCACAGACAATTCTTAGTGATCATTGGATTGAACTAACAGAGCTGAACATTCCTTTAGATGGAGCAGTTTCCAAACCCACTTTCTGTAGAATCTGCAAGTGGATATTTGGACTTCTCTGAGGATTTCGTTGGAAACGGGATAAACTTCCCAGAACTACACGGAAGCATGCTGAGAAACTTCTTTGTGATGTTTGCATTCAACTCACAGAGTTGAACCTTGCTTTCATAGTTCAGCTTTCAAACACTCTTTTTGTAGAATCTGCAAGTGGATATTTGGACCATTTTGTGGCCTTCCTTCGAAACGGGTATATCTTCACATCAAACCTAGACAGAAGCATTCTCAGAATGTTTCCTGTGATGACTGCATTCAACTCACAGAGGTGAACAATCCTGCTGATGGAGCAGTTTTGAAACTCTCTTTCTTTGGATTCTGCAAGTGGATATGTGGACCTCTGTGAAGATTTCGTTGGAAACGGGTTCATCTTCACAGAAAAACTAAACAGAAGCATTCTCAGAAACTGCTTTGTAATGTTTGTGTTCCACTTCAAGAATTGAACTTTCCTCTTGACAGAGCAGCTCTGAAGCCCTCTTTTTCTAGAATCTGTAAGTGGACATTTGGAGGGCTTTGACGCCTGTGGTGGAAAAGGAAAATCTTCACATAAAAACTAGATGGAAGCATTCTCAGAAACTACTTTGTGATGATTGCATTCGACTCACAGAGTTGAACATTCCTATAGATAGAGCAGGTTGTAAACAATCTTTTTGTAGAATCTGCGATTGGAGATTTGGACTGCTTTGAGGCCTACTGTAGTAAAGGAAATAACTTCATCTAAAAACCAAACGGAAGCATTCACAGACAATTCTTAGTGATCATTGGATTGAACTAACAGAGCTGAACATTCCTTTAGATGGAGCAGATTCCAAACACACTTTCTGTAGAATCTGCAAGTGGATATTTGGACCTCTCTGAGGATTTCGTTGGAAACGGGATAAACTTCCCAGAACTACACGGAAGCATTCTGAGAAACTTCTTTGTGATGTTTGCATTCAACTCACAGAGTTGAACCTTGCTTTCATAGTTCAGCTTTCAAACACTCTTTTTGTAGAATCTGCAAGTGGATATTTGGACCACTTTGTTGCCTTCCTTCGAAACGGGTATATCTTCACATCAAACCTAGACAGAAGCATTCTCAGAATGTTTCCTGTGATGACTGCATTCAACTCACAGAGGTGAACAATCCTGCTGATGGAGCAGTTTTGAAACTCTCTTTCTTTGGATTCTGCAAGTGGATATGTGGACCTCTGTGAAGATTTCGTTGGAAACGGGTTCATCTTCACAGAAAAACTAAACAGGAGCATTCTCAGAAACTGCATTATCATGATTGTGTTCCACTTAAAGAGTTGAACATTCCTCTTGACAGAGCAGCTCTGAAACCCTCTTTTTCTAGAATCTGCAAGTGGACATTTGGAGGGCTTTGAGGCCTGTGGTGGAAAAGGAAAATCTTCACATAAAAACTTTATGGAAGCATTCTCAGAAACTACTTTGTGATGATTGCATTCGACTCACAGAGTTGAACATTCCTATAGATAGAGCAGGTTGTAAACAATCTTTTTGTAGAATCTGCGATTGGAGATTTGGACTGCTTTGAGGCCTACTGTAGTAAAGGAAATAACTTCATCTAAAAACCAAACGGAAGCATTCACAGAAAATTCTTAGTGATCATTGCATTGAACTAACAGAGCTGAACATTACTTTAGATGGAGCAGTTTTCCAAACCCACTTTCTGTAGAATCTGCAAGTGGATATTTGGACTTCTCTGAGGATTTCTTTGGAAACGGGATAAACTTCCCAGAACTACACGGAAGCATTGTGAGAAACTTCTTTGTGATGTTTGCATTCAACTCACAGAGTTGAACCTTGCTTTCATAGTTCAGCTTTCAAACACTCTTTTTGTAGAATCTGCAAGTGGATATTTGGACCACTTTGTGGCCTTCCTTCGAAACGGGTATATCTTCACATCAAACCTAGACAGAAGCATTCTCAGAATGTTTCCTGTGATGACTGCATTCAACTCACAGAGGTGAACAATCCTGTTGATGGAGCAGTTTTGAAACTCTCTTTCTTTGGATTCTGCAAGTGGATATGTGGACCTCTGTGAAGATTTCGTTGGAAACGGGTTCATCTTCACAGGAAAACTATACAGGGGCATTCTCAGAAACTGCTTTGTGATGTTTGTTTTCCACTTCAAGAATTGAACTTTCCTCTTGACAGAGCAGCTCTGAAACCCTCTTATTCTAGAATCTGCAAGTGGACATTTGGAGGGCTTTGAGGCCTGTGGTGGAAAAGGAAAATCTTCACATAAAAACTAGATGGAAGCATTCTCAGAAACTCCTTTGTGATGATTGCATTCGACTCACAGAGTTGAACATTCCTATAGATAGAGCAGGTTGTAAACAATCTTTTTGTAGAATCTGCGATTGGAGATTTGGACTGCTTTGAGGCCTACTGTAGTAAAGGAAATAACTTCATCTAAAAAACAAACGGAAGCATTCACAGACAATTCTTAGTGATCATTGCATTGAACTAACAGAGCTGAACATTCCTTTAGATGGAGCAGTTTCCAAACACACTTTCTGTAGAATCTGCAAGTGGATATTTGGACTTCTCTGAGGATTTCGTTGGAAACGGGATAAACTTCCCAGAACTACACGGAAGCATTCTGAGAAACTTCTTTGTGATGTTTGCATTCAACTCACAGAGTTGAACCTTGCTTTCATAGTTCAGCTTTCAAACACTCTTTTTGTAGAATCTGCAAGTGGATATTTGGACCACTTTGTGGCCTTCCTTCGAAACGGGTATATCTTCACATCAAACCTAGACAGAAGCATTCTCAGAATGTTTCCTGTGATGACTGCATTCAACTCACAGAGGTGAACAATCCTGCTGATGGAGCAGTTTTGAAACTCTCTTTCTTTGGATTCTGCAAGTGGATATGTGGACCTCTGTGAAGATTTCGTTGGAAACGGGTTCATCTTCACAGAAAAACTAAACAGAAGCATTCTCAGAAACTGCTTTGTGATGTTTGTGTTCCACTTCAGGAATTGAACTTTCCTCTTGACAGAGCAGCTCTGAAACCCTCTTATTCTAGAATCTGCAAGTGGACATTTGGAGGGCTTTGAGGCCTGTGGTGGAAAAGGAAAATCTTCACATAAAAACTAGATGGAAGCATTCTCAGAAACTACTTTGTGATGATGGCTTTCGACTCACAGAGTTGAACATTCCTATAGATAGAGCAGGTTGTAAACAATCTTTTTGTAGAATCTGCGATTGGAGATTTGGACTGCTTTGAGGCCTACTGTAGTAAAGGAAATAACTTCATCTAAAAACCAAACGGAAGCATTCACAGACAATTCTTAGTGATCATTGCATTGAACTAACAGAGCTGAACATTCCTTTAGATGGCGCAGTTTCCAAACACACTTTCTGTAGAATCTGCAAGTGGATATTTGGACCTCTCTGAGGATTTCGTTGGAAACGGGATAAACTTCCCAGAACTACACGGAAGCATTCTGAGAAACTTCTTTGTGATGTTTGCATTCAACTCACAGAGTTGAACCTTGCTTTCATAGTTCAGCTTTCAAACACTCTTTTTGTAGAATCTGCAAGTGGATATTTGGACCACTTTGTGGCCTTCCTTCGAAACGGGTATATCTTCACATCAAACCTAGACAGAAGCATTCTCAGAATGTTTCCTGTGATGACTGCATTCAACTCACAGAGGTGAACAATCCTGTTGATGGAGCAGTTTGGAAACTCTCTTTCTTTGGATTCTGCAAGTTGATATGTGGACCTCTGTGAAGATTTCCTTGGAAACGGGTTCATCTTCACAGAAAAACTAAACAGAAGCATTCTCAGAAACTGCTTTGTGATGTTTGTGTTCCACTTCAAGAATTGAACTTTCCTCTTGACAGAGCAGCTCTGAAACCCTCTTTTTCTAGAATCTGCAAGTGGACATTTGCAGGGCTTTGAGGCCTGTGGTGGAAAAGGAAAATCTTCACATAAAAACTAGATGGAAGCATTCTCAGAAACTACTTTGTGATGATTGCATTCGACTCACAGAGTTGAACATTCCTATAGATAGAGCAGGTTGTAAACAATCTTTTTGTAGAATCTGCGATTGGAGATTTGGACTGCTTTGAGGCCTACTGTAGTAAAGGAAATAACTTCATCTAAAAACCAAACGGAAGCATTCACAGACAATTCTTAGTGATCATTGCATTGAACTAACTGAGCTGAACATTCCTTTAGATAGCGCAGTTTCCAAACACACTTTCTGTAGAATCTGCAAGTGGATGTTTCGACCTCTCTGAGGATTTCGTTGGAAACGGGATAAACATCCCAGAACTACACGGAAGCATTCTGAGAAACTTCTTTGTGATGTTTGCATTCAACTCACAGAGTTGAACCTTGCTTTCATAGTTCAGCTTTCAAACACTCTTTTTGTAGAATCTGCAAGTGGATATTTGGACCACTTTGTGGCCTTCCTTCGAAACGGGTATATCTTCACATCAAATCTAGACAGAAAGCATTCTCAGAATGTTTCCTGTGATGACTGCATTCAACTCACAGCAGGTGAACAATCCTGCTGATGGAGCTGTTTTGAAACTCTCTTTCTTTGGATTCTGCAAGTGGATATGTGGACCTCTGTGAAGATTTCGTTGGAAACGGGTTCATCTTCACAGAAAAACTAAACAGAAGCATTCTCAGAAACTGCTTTGTGATGTTTGTGTTCCACTTCAGGAATTGAACTTTCCTCTTGACAGAGCAGCTCTGAAACCCTCTTTTTCTAGAATCTGCAAGTGGACATTTGGAGGGCTTTGAGGCCTGTGGTGGAAAAGGAAAATCTTCACATAAAAACTAGATGGAAGCATTCTCAGAAACTACTTTGTGATGATTGCATTCGACTCACAGAGTTGAACATTCCTATAGATAGAGCAGGTTGTAAACAATCTTTTTGTAGAATCTGCGATTGGAGATTTGGACTGCTTTGAGGCCTATGATAGTAAAGGAAATAACTTCATCTAAAAACCAAACGGAAGCATTCACAGACAATTCTTAGTGATCATTGGATTGAACTAACAGAGCTGAACATTCCTTTAGATGGCTCAGTTTCCAGACACAGTTTCTGTAGAATCTGCAAGTGGATATTTGGACCTCTCTGAGGATTTCGTTGGAAACGGGATAAACTTCCCAGAACTACACGGAAGCATTCTGAGAAACTTCTTTGTGATGTTTGCATTCAACTCACAGAGTTGAACCTTGCTTTCATAGTTCAGCTTTCAAACACTCTTTTTGTAGAATCTGCAAGTGGATATTTGGACCACTTTGTGGCCTTCCTTCGAAACGGGTATATCTTCACATCAAACCTAGACAGAAGCATTCTCAGAATGTTTCCTGTGATGACTGCATTCAACTCACAGAGGTGAACAATCCTGCTGATGGAGCAGTTTTGAA
Organism: Homo sapiens; assembly: GCF_000001405.40. Taxonomy (NCBI): domain Eukaryota; kingdom Metazoa; phylum Chordata; class Mammalia; order Primates; family Hominidae; genus Homo; species Homo sapiens. Next base: position 52,880,891 of record NC_000011.10, read on the forward strand.
ACTCTCTTTCTTTGGATTGTGCAAGTGGATATGTGGACCTCTGTGTAGATTTCGTTGGAAACGGGTTCATCTTCACAGAAAAACTAAACAGGAACATTCTCAGAAACTGCTTTGTGATGTTTGTGTTCCACTTCAGGAATTGAACTTTCCTCTTGACAGAGCAGCTCTGAAACCCTCTTTTTCTAGAATCTTCAAGTGGACATTTGGAGGGCTTCGAGGCCTGTGGTGGAAAAGGAAAATCTTCACATAAAAACTAGATGGAAGCATTCTCAGAAACTACTTTGTGATGATTGCATTCGACTCACAGAGTTGAACATTCCTATAGATAGAGCAGGTTGTAAACAATCTTTTTGTAGAATCTGCGATTGGAGATTTGGACTGCTTTGAGGCCTACTGTAGTAAAGGAAATAACTTCATCTAAAAACCAAACGGAAGCATTCACAGACAATTCTTAGTGATCATTGGATTGAACTAACAGAGCTGAACATTCCTTTAGATGGAGCAGATTCCAAACACACTTTCTGTAGAATCTGCAAGTGGATATTTGGACCTATCTGAGGATTTCGTTGGAAACGGGATAAACTTCCCCGAACTACACGGAAGCATTCTGAGAAACTTCTTTGTGATGTTTGCATTCAACTCACAGAGTTGAACCTTGCTTTCATAGTTCAGCTTTCAAACACTCTTTTTGTAGAATCTGCAAGTGGATATTTGGACCACTTTGTGGCCTTCCTTCGAAACGGGTATATCTTCACATCAAACCTAGACAGAAGCATTCTCAGAATGTTTCCTGTGATGACTGCATTCAACTCACAGAGGTGAACAATCCTGTTGATGGAGCAGTTTTGAAACTCTCTTTCTTTGGAATCTGCAAGTGGATGTGTGGACCTCTCTGAAGATTTCGTTGGAAACGGGTTCATCTTCACAGAAAAACTAAACAGAAGCATTCTCAGAAACTGCTTTGTGATGTTTGTGTTCCACTTCAGGAATTGAACTTTCCTCTTGACAGAGCAGCTCTGAAACCCTCTTATTCTAGAATCTGCAAGTGGACATTTGGAGGGCTTTGAGGCCTGTGGTGGAAAAGGAAAATCTTCACATAAAAATTAGATGGAAGCATTCTCAGAAACTACTTTGTGATGATTGCATTCGACTCACAGAGTTGAACATTCCTATAGATAGAGTAGGTTGTAAACAATCTTTTTGTTGAATCTGCGATTGGAGATTTGGACTGCTTTGAGGCCTACTGTAGTAAAGGAAATAACTTCATCTAAAAACCAAACGGAAGCATTCACAGACAATTCTTAGTGATCATTGCATTGAACTAACAGAGCTGAACATTCCTTTAGATGGAGCAGTTTCCAAACACACTTTCTGTAGAATCTGCAAGTGGATATTTGGACTTCTCTGAGGATTTCGTTGGAAACGGGATAAACTTCCCAGAACTACACGGAAGCATTCTGAGAAACTTCTTTGTGATGTTTGCATTCAACTCACAGAGTTGAACCTTGCTTTCATAGTTCAGCTTTCAAACCCTCTTTATGTAGAATCTGCAAGTGGATATTTGGACCACTTTGTGGCCTCCCTTCGAAACGGGTATATCTTCACATCAAACCTAGACAGAAGCATTCTCACAATGTTTCCTGTGATGACTGCATTCAACTCACAGAGGTGAACAATCCTGCTGATGGAGCAGTTTTGAAACTCTCTTTCTTTGGATTCTGCAAGTGGATATGTGGACCTCTGTGAAGATTTCGTTGGAAACGGGTTCATCTTCACAGAAAAACTAAACAGGAGCATTCTCAGAAACTGCTTTGTGATGTTTGTGTTCCACTTCAAGAATTGAACTTTCCTCTTGACAAAGCAGCTCTGAAACCCTCTTTTTCTAGAGTCTGCAAGTGGACATTTGGAGGGCTTTGAGGCCTGTGGTGGAAAAGGAATATCTTCACATAAAAACTAGATGGAAGCATTCTCAGAAACTACTTTGTGATGATTGCATTCGACTCACAGAGTTGAACATTCCTATAGATAGAGCAGGTTGTAAACAATCTTTTTGTAGAATCTGCGATTGGAGATTTGGACTGCTTTGAGGCCTACTGTAGTAAAGGAAATAACTTCATCTAAAAACCAAACGGAAGCATTCACAGACAATTCTTAGTGATCATTGGATTGAACTAAGAGAGCTGAACATTCCTTTAGATGGAGCAGTTTCCAAACACACTTTTTGTAGAATCTGCAAGTGGATATTTGGACTTCTCTGAGGATATCGTTGGAAAAGGGATAAACTTCCCAGAACTACACGGAAGCATTGTGAGAAACTTCTTTGTGATGTTTGCATTCAACTCACAGAGTTGAACCTTGCTTTCATAGTTCAGCTTTCAAACACTCTTTTTGTAGAATCTGCAAGTGGATATTTGAACCACTTTGTGGCCTTCCTTCGAAACAGGTATATCTTCACATCAAACCTAGACAGAAGCATTCTCAGAATGTTTCCTGTGGTGACTGCATTCAACTCACAGAGGTGAACAATCCTGCTGATGGAGCAGTTTTGAAACTCTTTTTCTTTGGATTCTGCAAGTGGATATGTGGACCTCTGTGAAGATTTCGTTGGAAACGGGTTCATCTTCACAGAAAAACTAAACAGAAGCATTCTCAGAAACTGCTTTGTGATGTTTGTGTTCCACTTCAAGAATTGAACTTTCCTCTTGACAGAGCAGCTCTGAAACCCTCTTTTTCTAGAATCTGCAAGTGGACATTTGGAGGGCTTTGAGGCCTGTGGTGGAAAAGGAAAATCTTCACATAAAAACTAGATGGAAGCATTCTCAGAAACTACTTTGTGATGATTGCATTCGACTCACAGAGTTGAACATTCCTATAGATAGAGCAGGTTGTAAACAATCTTTTTGTAGAATCTGCGATTGGAGATTTGGACTGCTTTGAGGCCTACTGTAGTAAAGGAAATAACTTCATCTAAAAACCAAACGGAAGCATTCACAGACAATTCTTAGTGATCATTGGATTGAACTAACAGAGCTGAACATTCCTTTAGATGGAGCAGTTTCCAAACACACTTTCTGTAGAATCTGCAAGTGGATATTTGGACTTCTCTGAGGATTTCGTTGGAAACGGGATAAACTTCCCAGAACTACAGGGAAGCATTCTGAGAAACTTCTTTGTGATGTTTGCATTCAACTCACAGAGTTGAACCTTGCTTTCATAGTTCAGCTTTCAAACACTCTTTTTGTAGAATCTGCAAGTGGATATTTGGACCACTTTGTGGCCTTCCTTCGAAACGGGTATATCTTCACATCAAACCTAGACAGAAGCATTCTCAGAATGTTTCCTGTGATGACTGCATTCAACTCACAGAGGTGAACAATCCTGTTTATGGAGCAGTTTTGAAACTCTCTTTCTTTGGATTCTGCAAGTTGATATGTCGACCTCTGTGAAGATTTCGTTGGAAACGGGTTCATCTTCACAGAAAAACTAAACAGAAGCATTCTCAGAAACTGCTTTGTGATGTTTGTGTTCCACTTCAGGAATTGAACTTTCCTCTTGACAGAGCAGCTCTAAAACCCTCTTATTCTAGAATCTGCAAGTGGACATTTGGAGGGCTTTGAGGCCTGTGGTGGAAAAGGAAAATCTTCACATAAAAACTAGATGGAAGCATTCTCAGAAACTACTTTGTGATGATTGCATTCGACTCACAGAGTTGAACATTCCTATAGATAGAGCAGGTTGTAAACAATCTTTTTGTAGAATCTGCGATTGGAGATTTGGACTGCTTTGAGGCCTACTGTAGTAAAGGAAATAACTTCATCTAAAAACCAAACGGAAGCATTCACAGACAATTCTTAGTGATCATTGCAGTGAACTAACAGAGCTGAACATTCCTTTAGATGGCGCAGTTTCCAAACACACTTTCTGTAGAATCTGCAAGTGGATATTTGGACCTCTCTGAGGATTTCGTTGGAAACGGGATAAACTTCCCAGAACTACACGGAATCATTCTCAAAAACTTCATTGTGATGTTTGCATTCAACTCACAGAGTTGAACCTTGCTTTCATAGTTCAGCTTTCAAACACTCTTTTTGTAGAATCTGCTAGTGGATATTTGGACCACTTTGTGGCCTTCCTTCGAAACGGGTATATCTTCACATCAAACCTAGACAGAAGCATTCTCAGAATGTTTCCTGTGATGACTGCATTCAACTCACAGAGGTGAGCAATCCTGTTGATGGAGCAGTTTTGAAACTCTCTTTCTTTGGAATCTGCAAGTGGATGTGTGGACCTCTTTGAAGATTTCGTTGGAAACAGGTTCTTCTTCACAGAAAAACTAAACAGAAGCATTCTCAGAAACTGCTTTGTGATGTTTGTGTTCCACTTCAGGAATTGAACTTTCCTATTGACAGAGCAGCTCTGAAACCCTCTTTTTCTAGAATCTGCAAGTGGACATTTGGAGGGCTTTGAGGCCTGTGGTGGAAAAGGAAACTCTTCATATAAAAACTAGATGGAAGCATTCTCAGAAACTACTTTGTGATGATTGCATTCGACTCACAGAGTTGAACATTCCTATACATAGAGCAGGTTGTAAACAATCTTTTTGTAGAATCTGCGATTGGAGATTTGGACTGCTTTGAGGCCTACTGTAGTAAAGGAAATAACTTCATCTAAAAACCAAACGGAAGCATTCACAGACAATTCTTAGTGATCATTGGATTGAACTAACAGAGCTGAACATTCCTTTAGATGGAGCAGTTTCCAAACACACTTTCTGTAGAATCTGCAAGTGGATATTCGGACTTTTCTGAGGATTTCGTTGGAAACGGGATAAACTTCCCAGAACTACACGGAAGCATTCTGAGAAACTTCTTTGTGATGTTTGCATTCAACTCACAGAGTTGAACCTTGCTTTCATAGTTCAGCTTTCAAACACTCTTTTTGTAGAATCTGCAAGTGGATATTTGGACCACTTTGTGGCCTTCCTTCGAAACGGGTATATCTTCACATCAAACCTAGACAGAAGCATTCTCAGAATGTTTCCTGTGATGACTGCATTCAACTCACAGAGGTGAACAATCCTGTTGATGGAGCAGTTTTGAAACTCTCTTTCTTTGGATTCTGCAAGTTGATATGTGGACCTCTGTGAAGATTTCGTTGGAAACGGGTTCATCTTCACAGAAAAACTAAACAGAAGCATTCTCAGAAACTGCTGTGTGATGTTTGTGTTCCACTTCAGGAATTGAACTTTCCTCTTGACAGAGCAGCTCTGAAACCCTCTTATTCTAGAATCTGCAAGTGGACATTTGGAGGGCTTTGAGGCCTGAGGTGGAAAAGGAAAATCTTCACATAAAAACTAGATGGAAGCATTCTCAGAAACTACATTGTGATGATTGCATTCGACTCACAGAGTTGAACATTCCTATAGATAGAGCAGGTTGTAAACAATCTTTTTGTATAATCTGCGATTGGAGATTTGGACTGCTTTGAGGCCTACTGTAGTAAAGGAAATAAATTCATCTAAAAACCAAACGGAAGCATTCACAGACAATTCTTAGTGATCATTGGATTGAACTAACAGAGCTGAACATTCCTTTAGATGGAGCAGTTTCCAAACCCACTTTCTGTAGAATCTGCAAGTGGATATTTGGACTTCTCTGAGGATTTCGTTGGAAACGGGATAAACTTCCCAGAACTACACGGAAGCATTGTGAGAAACTTCTTTGTGATGTTTGCATTCAACTCACAGAGTAGAACCTTGCTTTCATAGTTCAGCTTTCAAACACTCTTTTTGTAGAATCTGCAAGTGGATATTTGGACCACTTTGTGGCCTTCCTTTGAAACGGGTATATCTTCACATCAAACCTAGACAGAAGCATTCTCAGAATGTTTCCTGTGATGACTGCATTCAACTCACAGAGGTGAACAATCCTGCTGATGGAGCAGTTTTGAAACTCTCTTTCTTTGGATTCTGCAAGAGGATATGTGGACCTCTGTGAAGATTTCGTTGGAAACGGGTTCATCTTCACAGAAAAACTAAACAGAAGCATTCTCAGAAACTGCTTTGTGATGTTTGTGTTCCACTTCAGGAATTGAACTTTCCTCTTGAAAGAGCAGCTCTGAAACCCTCTTTTTCTAGAATCTGCAAGTGGACATTTGGAGGGCTTTGAGGCCTGTGGTGGAAAAGGAAAATCTTCACATAAAAACTAGATGGAAGCATTCTCAGAAACTACTTTGTGATGTTTGCATTCGACTCACAGAGTTGAACATTCCTATAGATAGAGCAGGTTGAAAACAATCTTTTTGTAGAATCTGCGATTGGAGATTTGGACTGCTTTGAGGCCTGCTGTAGTAAAGGAAATAACTTCATCTAAAAACCAAACGGAAGCATTCACAGACAATTCTTAGTGATCATTGGATTGAACTAACAGAGCTGAACATTCCTTTAGATGGAGCAGTTTCCAAACACACTTTCTGTAGAATCTGCAAGTGGATATTTGGACCTCTCTGAGGATTTCTTTGGAAACGGGATAAACTTCCCAGAACTACACCGAAGCATTCTGAGAAACTTCTTTGTGATGTTTGCATTCAACTCACAGAGTTGAACCTTGCTTTCATAGTTCAGCTTTCAAACACTCTTTTTGTAGAATCTGCAAGTGGATATTTGGACCACTTTGTGGCCTTCCTTCGAAACGGGTATATCTTCACATCAAACCTAGACAGAAGCATTCTCAGAATGTTTCCTGTGATGACTGCATTCAACTCACAGAGGTGAACAATCCTGTTGATGGAGCAGTTTTGAAACTCTCTTTCTTTGGATTCTGCAAGTGGATATGAGGACCTCTGTGAAGATTTCGTTGGAAACGGGTTCATCTTCACAGAAAAAAAAAACAGGAGCATTCTCAGAAACTGCTTTGTGATGTTTGTGTTCCACTTCAGGAATTGAACTTTCCTCTTGATAGAGCAGCTCTGAAACCCTCTTTTTCTAGAATCTGCAAGTGGACATTTGGAGGGCTTTGAGGCCTGTGGTGGAAAAGGAAAATCTTCACATAAAAACTAGATGGAAGCATTCTCAGAAACTACTTTGTGATGATTGCATTCGACTCACAGAGTTGAACATTCCTATAGATAGAGCAGGTTGTAAACAATCTTTTTGTAGAATCTGCGATTGGATATTTGGACTGCATTGAGGCCTACTGTAGTAACGGAAATAACTTCATCTAAAAACCAAACGGAAGCATTCACAGACAATTCTTAGTGATCATTGGATTGAACTAACAGAGCTGAACATTCCTTTAGATGGAGCAGTTTCCAAACCCACTTTCTGTAGAATCTGCAAGTGGATATTTGGACTTCTCTGAGGATTTCGTTGGAAACGGGATAAACTTCCCAGAACTACACGGAAGCATTCTGAGAAACTTCTTTGTGATGTTTGCATTCAACTCACAGAGTTGAACCTTGCTTTCATAGTTCAGCTTTCACACACTCTTTTTGTAGAATCTGCAAGTGGATATTTGGACCACTTTGTGGCCTTCCTTCGAAACGGGTATATCTTCACATGAAACCTAGACAGAAGCATTCTCAGAATGTTTCCTGTGATGACTGCATTCAACTCACAGAGGTGAACAATCCTGTTGATGGAGCAGTTTTGAAACTCTCTTTCTTTGGATTCTGCAAGTGGATATGTGGACCTCTGTGAAGATTTCGTTGGAAACGGGTTCATCTTCACAGAAAAACTAAACAGGAGCATTCTCAGAAACTGCTTTGTGATGTTTGTGTTCCACTTCAGGAATTGAACTTTCCTCTTGACAGAGCAGCTCTGAAACCCTCTTATTCTAGAATCTGCAAGTGGACATTTGGAGGGCTTTGAGGCCTGTGGTGGAAAAGGAAAATCTTCACATAAAAACTAGATGGAAGCATTCTCAGAAACTACTTTGTGATGATTGCATTCGACTCACAGAGTTGAACATTCCTATAGATAGAGCAGGTTGTAAACAGTCTTTTTGTAGAATCTGCGATTGGAGATTTGGACTGCTTTGAGGCCTACTGTAGTAAAGGAAATAACTTCATCTAAAAACCAAACGGAAGCATTCACAGACAATTCTTAGTGATCATTGGATTGAACTAACAGAGCTGAACATTCCTTTAGATGGAGCAGTTTCCAAACCCACTTTCTGTAGAATCTGCAAGTGGATATTTGGACTTCTCTGAGGATTTCGTTGGAAACGGGATATGCTTCCCAGAACTACAGGGAAGCATTCTCAGAAACATGTGTGTCACTGTTGCATTCAACTCACAGAGTTGAACCTTCCTTTCATAGTTCAGCTTTCAAACACTCTATTTGTAGAATCTGCAAGTGGATATTTGGACCACTTTGTGGCCTTCCTTCGAAACGTGTATATCTTCACATCAAACCTAGACAGAAGCATTCTCAGAATGTTTCCTGTGAAGACTGCATTCAACGCACAGAGGTGAACAATCCTGTTGATGGAGCAGTTTGAAACTCTCTTTCTTTGGAATCTGCAAGTGGATATTTGGACCTCTTTGAAGATTTCCTTGGAAAAGTGTTCATCTTCAAAGAAAAACTAAACAGAAGCATTCTCAGAAACTGCTTTGTGATGTTTGTGTTCCACTTCAGGAATTGAACTTTCCTCTTGACAGAGCAGCTCTGAAACCCTCTTTTTCTAGAATCTGCAAGTGGACATTTGGAGGGCTTTGAGGCCTGTGGTGGAAAAGGAAAATCTTCCCATAAAAACTAGATGGAAGCATTCTCAGAAACTACTTTGTGATGATTGCATTCGACTCACAGAGTTGAACATTCCTACAGATAGAGCAGGTTGTAAACAATCTTTTTGTAGAATCTGCGATTGGAGATTTGGACTGCTTTGAGTCCTACTGTAGTAAAGGAAATAACTTCATCTAAAAACCAAACGGAAGCATTCACAGACAATTCTTAGTGATCATTGCATTGAACTAACAGAGCTGAACATTCCTTTAGATGGAGCAGTTTCCAAACACACTTTCTGTAGAATCTGCAAGTGGATATTTGGACTTCTCTGAGGATTTCGTTGGAAACGGGATAAACTTCCCAGAACTACAGGGGAAGCATTGTGAGAAACTTCTTTGTGATGTTTGCATTCAACTCACAGAGTTGAACCTTGCTTTCATAGTTCAGCTTTCAAACACTCTTTTTGTAGAATCTGCAAGTGGATATTTGGACCACTTTGTGGCCTTCCTTTGAAAAGGGTATATCTTCACATCAAACCTAGACAGAAGCATTCTCAGAATGTTTCCTGTGATGACTGCATTCAACTCACAGAGGTGAACAATCCTGCTGATGGAGCAGTTTTGAAACTCTCTTTCTTTGGATTCTGCAAGTGGATATGTGGACCTCTGTGAAGATTTCGTTGGAAACGGGTTCATCTTCACAGAAAAACTAAACAGAAGCATTCTCAGAAACTGCTTTGTGATGTTTGTGTTCCACTTCAAGAATTGAACTTTCCTCTTGACAGAGCAGCTCTGAAACCCTCTTTTTCTAGAATCTGAAAGTGGACATTTGGAGGGATTTGAGGCCTGTGGTGGAAAAGGAAAATCTTCACATAAAAACTAGATGGAAGCATTCTCAGAAACTACTTTGTGATGATTGCATTCGACTCACAGAGTTGAACATTCCTATAGATAGAGCAGGTTGTAAACAATCTTTTTGTAGAATCTGCGATTGGAGATTTGGACTGCTTTGAGGCCTACTGTAATAAAGGAAATAACTTCATCTAAAAACCAAACGGAAGCATTCACAGACAATTCTTAGTGATCATTGGATTGAACAAACAGAGCTGAACATTCCTTTAGATGGCGCAGTTTCCAAACACACTTTCTGTAGAATCTGCAAGTGGATATTTGGACTACTCTGAGGATTTCGTTGGAAACGGGATAAACTTCCCAGAACTACACGGAAGCATTCTGAGAAACTTCTTTGTGATGTTTGCATTCAACTCACAGAGTTGAACCTTGCTTTCATAGTTCAGCTTTCAAACACTCTTTTTGTAGAATCTGCAAGTGGATATTTGGACCACTTTCTGGCCTTCCTTCGAAACGGGTATATCTTCACATCAAACCTAGACAGAAGCATTCTCAGAATGTTTCCTGTGATGACTGCATTCAACTCACAGATGTGAACAATCCTGCTCATGGAGCAGTTTTGAAACTCTCTTTCTTTGGATTCTGCAAGTGGATATGTGGACCTCTGTGTAGATTTCGTTGGAAACGGGTTCATCTTCACAGAAAAACTAAACAGAAGCATTCTCAGAAACTGCTTTGTGATGTTTGTGTTCCACTTCAAGAATTGAACTTTCCTCTTGACAGAGCAGCTCTGAAACCCTCTTTTTCTAGAATCTGCAAGTGGACATTTGGCGGGCTTTGAGGCCTGTGGTGGAAAAGGAAAATCTTCACATAAAAACTAGATGGAAGCATTCTCAGAAACTACTTTGTGATGATTGCATTCGACTCACAGAGTTGAACATTGCTATAGATAGAGCAGGTTGTAAACAATCTTTTTGTAGAATCTGCGATTGGAGATTTGGACTGCTTGGAGGCCTACTGTAGTAAAGGAAATAACTTCATCTAAAAACCAAACGGAAGCATTCACAGACAATTCTTAGTGATCATTGGATTGAACTAACAGAGCTGAACATTCCTTTAGATGGCGCAGTTTCCAAACACACTTTCTGTAGAATCTGCAAGTGGATATTTGGACTTCTCTGAGGATTTCGTTGGAAACGGGATAAACTTCCCAGAACTACACGGAAGCATTCTGAGAAACTTCTTTGTGATGTTTGCATTCAACTCACAGAGTTGAACCTTGCTTTCATAGTTCAGCTTTCAAACACTCTTTTTGTAGAATCTGCAAGTGGATATTTGGACCACTTTGAGGCCTTCCTTCGAAACGGGTATATCTTCACATCAAACCTAGACAGAAGCATTCTCAGAATGTTTCCTGTGATGACTGCATTCAACTCACAGAGGTGAACAATCCTGTTGATGGAGCAGTTTTGAAACTCTCTTTCTTTGGATTCTGCAAGTGGATATGTGGACCTCTGTGAAGATTTCGTTGGAAACGGGTTCATCTTCACAGAAAAACTAAACAGGAGCATTCTCAGAAACTGCTTTGTGATGTTTGTGTTCCACTTCAAGAATTGAACTTTCCTCTTGACAGAGCAGCTCTGAAACCCTCTTTTTCTAGAATCTGCAAGTGGACATTTGGAGGGATTTGAGGCCTGTGGTGGAAAAGGAAAATCTTCACATAAAAACTAGATGGAAGCATTCTCAGAAACTACTTTGTGATGATTGCATTCGACTCACAGAGTTGAACATTCCTATAGATAGCGCAGGTTGAAAACAATCTTTTTGTAGAATCTGCGATTGGAGATTTGGACTGCTTTGAGGCCTACTGTAGTAAAGGAAATAACTTCATCTAAAAACCAAACGGAAGCATTCACAGACAATACTTAGTGATCATTGGATTGAACTAACAGAGCTGAACATTCCTTTAGATGGCGCAGTTTCCAAACACACTTTCTGTAGAATCTGCAAGTGGATATTTGGACTTCTACTGAGGATTTCGTTGGAAACGGGATAAACTTCCCAGAACTACACGGAAGCATTCTGAGAAACTTCTCTGTGATGTTTGCATTCAACTCACAGAGTTGAACCTTGGTTTCATAGTTCAGCTTTCAAACACTCTTTTTGTAGAATCTGCAAGTGGATATTTGGACCACTTTGTGGCCTTCCTTCGAAACGGGTATATCTTCACATCAAAACTAGACAGAAGCATTCCCAGAATGTTTCCTGTGATGACTGCATTCAACTCACAGAGGCGAACAATCCTGTTGATGGAGCAGTTTTGAAACTCTCTTTCTTTGGATTCTGCAAGTGGATATGTGGACCTCTGTGAAGATTTCGTTGGAAACGGGTTCATCTTCACAGAAAAACTATACAGGAGCATTCTCAGAAACTGCTTTGTGATGTTTGTGTTCCACTTCAAGAATTGAACTTTCCTCTTGACAGAGCAGCTCTGAAACCCTCTTTTTCTAGAATCTGCAAGTGGACATTTGGAGGGCTTTGAGGCCTGTGGTGGAAAAGGAAAATCTTCACATAAAAACTAGATGGAAGCATTCTCAGAAACTACTTTGTGATGATTGCATTCGACTCACAGAGTTGAACATTCCTATAGATAGAGCAGGTTGAAAACAATCTTTTTGTAGAATCTGCGATTGGAGATTTGTACTGCTTTGAGGCCTACTGTAGTAAAGGAAATAACTTCATCTAAAAACCAAACGGAAGCATTCACAGACAATTCTTAGTGATCATTGGATTGAACTAACAGAGCTGAACATTCCTTTAGATGGAGCAGTTTCCAAACACACTTTCTGTAGAATCTGCAAGTGGATATTTGGACCTCTCTGAGGATTTCTTTGGAAACGGGATAAACTTCCCAGAACTACACGGAAGCATTGTGAGAAACTTCTTTGAGATGTTTGCATTCAACTCACAGAGTTGAACCTTGCTTTCATAGTTCAGCTTTCAAACACTCTTTTTGTAGAATCTGCAAGTGGATATTTGGACCACTTTGTGGCCTTCCTTCGAAACGGGTATATCTTCACATCAAACCTAGACAGAAGCATTCTCAGAATGTTTCCTGTGATGACTGCATTCAACTCACAGAGGTGAACAATCCTGCTGATGGAGCAGTTTTGAAACTCTCTTTCTTTGGATTCTGCAAGTGGATATGTGGACCTCTGTGAAGATTTCGTTGGAAACGGGTTCATCTTCACAGAAAAACTAAACAGGAGCATTCTCAGAAACTGCTTTGTGATGTTTGTGTTCCACTTCAAGAATTGAACTTTCCTCTTGACAGAGCAGCTCTGAAACCCTCTTTTTCTAGAATCTGCAAGTGGACATTTGGAGGGCTTTGAGGCCTGTGGTTGAAAAGGATAATCTTCACATAAAAACTAGATGGAAGCATTCTCAGAAACTACTTTGTGATGATTGCATTCGACTCACAGAGTTGAACATTCCTATAGATAGAGCAGGTTGTAAACAATCTTTTTGTAGAATCTGCGATTGGAGATTTGGACTGCTTTGAGGCCTACTGTAGTAAAGGAAATAACTTCATCTAAAAACCAAACGGAAGCATTCACAGACAATTCTTAGTGATCATTGCATTGAACTAACAGAACTGAACATTCCTTTAGATGGAGCAGTTTCCAAACCCACTTTCTGTAGAATCTGCAAGTGGATATTTGGACTTCTCTGAGGATTTCGTTGGAAACGGGATAAACTTCCCAGAACTACACTGAAGCATTCTGAGAAACTTCTTTGTGATGTTTGCATTCAACTCACAGAGTTGAACCTTGCTTTCTTAGTTCAGCTTTCAAACACTCTTTTTGTAGAATCTGCAAGTGGATATTTGGACCACTTTGTGGCCTTCCTTCGAAACGGGTATATCTTCACATCAAACCTAGACAGAAGCATTCTCAGAATGTTTCCTGTGATGACTGCATTCAACTCACAGAGGTGAACAATCCTGCTGATGGAGCAGTTTTGAAACTCTCTTTCTTTGGATTCTGCAAGTGGATATGTGGACCTCTGTGAAGATTTCGTTGGAAACGGGTTCATCTTCACAGAAAAACTAAACAGGAGCATTCTCAGAAACTGCTTTGTGATGTTTGTGTTCCACTTCAGGAATTGAACTTTCCTCTTGACAGAGCAGCTCTGAAACCCTCTTATTCTAGAATCTGCAAGTGGACATTTGGAGGGCTTTGAGGCCTGTGGTGGAAAAGGAAAATCTTCACATAAAAACTAGATGGAAGCATTCTCAGAAACTACTTTGTGATGATTGCATTCGACTCACAGAGTTGAACATTCCTAAAGATAGAGCAGGTTGTAAACAATCTTTTTGTAGAATCTGCGATTGGAGATTTGGACTGCTTTGAGGCCTACTGTAGTAAAGGAAATAACTTCATCTAAAAACCAAACGGAAGCATTCACAGACAATTCTTAGTGATCATTGGATTGAACTAACAGAGCTGAACATTCCTTTAGATGGAGCAGTTTCCAAACACACTTTCTGTAGAATCTGCAAGTGGATATTTGGACTTCTCTGAGGATTTCGTTGGAAACGGGATAAACTTCCCAGAACTACACGGAAGCATTGTGAGAAACTTCTTTGTGATGTTTGCATTCAACTCACAGAGTTGAACCTTGCTTTCATAGTTCAGCTTTCAAACACTCTTTTTGTAGAATCTGCAAGTGGATATTTGGACCACTTTGTTGCCTTCCTTCGAAACGGGTATATCTTCACATCAAACCTAGACAGAAGCATTCTCAGAATGTTTCCTGTGATGACTGCATTCAACTCACAGACGTGAACAATCCTGTTGATGGAGCAGTTTTGAAACTCTCTTTCTTTGGATTCTGCAAGTGGATAGGTGGACTTCTGTGAAGATTTCGTTGGAAACGGATTCATCTTCACAGAAATACTGAACAGAAGCATTCTCAGAAACTGCTTTGTGATGTTTGTGTTCCACTTCAAGAATTGAACTTTCCTCTTGACCGAGCAGCTCTGAAACCCTCTTATTCTAGAATCTGCAAGTGGACATTTGGAGGGCCTTTGAGGCCTGTGGTGGAAAAGGAAAATCTTCACATAAAAACTAGATGGAAGCATTCTCAGAAACTACTTTGTGATGATTGCATTCGACTCACAGAGTTGAACATTCCTATAGATAGAGCAGGTTGTAAACAATCTTTTTGTAGAATCTGCGATTGGAGATTTGGACTGCTTTGAGGCCTACTGTAGTAAAGGAAATAACTTCATCTAAAAACCAAACGGAAGCATTCACAGACAATTCTTAGTGATCATTGGATTGAACTAACAGAGCTGAACATTCCTTTAGATGGAGCAGTTTCCAAACCCACTTTCTGTAGAATCTGCAAGTGGATATTTGGACTTCTCTGAGGATTTCGTTGGAAACGGGATAAACTTCCCAGAACTACACGGAAGCATTCTGAGAAACTTCTTTGTGATGTTTGCATTCAACTCACAGAGTTGAACCTTGATTTCATAGTTCAGCTTTCAAACACTCTTTTTGTAGAATCTGCAAGTGGATATTTGGACCACTTTGTGGCCTTCCTTCGAAACGGGTATATCTTCACATCAAACCTAGACAGAAGCATTCTCAGAATGTTTCCTGTGATGACTGCATTCAACTCACAGAGGTGAACAATCCTTCTGATGGAGCAGTTTTGAAACTCTCTTTCTTTGGATTCTGCAAGTAGATATGTGGACCTCTGTGAAGATTTCGTTGGAAAAGGGTTCATCTTCACAGAAAAACTAAACAGGAGCATTCCCAGAAACTGCTTTGTGATGTTTCTGTTCCACTTCAAGAATTGAACTTTCCTCTTGACAGAGCAGCTCTGAAACCCTCTTTTTCTAGAATCTGCAAGTGGACATTTGGAGGGCTTTGAGGCCTGTGGTGGAAAAGGAAAATCTTCACATAAAAACTAGATGGAAGCATTCTCAGAAACTACTTTGTGATGATTGCATTCGACTCACAGAGTTGAACATTCCTATAGATAGAGCAGGTTGTAAACAATCTTTTTGTAGAATCTGCGATTGGAGATTTGGACTGCTTTGAGGCCTACTGTAGTAAAGGAAATAACTTCATCTAAAAACCAAACGGAAGCATTCACAGACAATTCTTAGTGATCATTGCATTGAACTAACAGAGCTGAACATTCCTTTAGATGGAGCATTTTCCAAACACACTTTCTGTAGAATCTGCAAGTGGATATTTGGACTTCTCTGAGGATTTCGTTGGAAACGGGATAAACTTCCCAGAACTACACGGAAGCATTCTGAGAAACTTCTTTGTGATGTTTGCATTCAACTCACAGAGTTGAACCTTGCTTTCATAGTTCAGCTTTCAAACACTCTTTTTGTAGAATCTGCAAGTGGATATTTGGACCACTTTGTGGCCTTCCTTCGAAACGGGTATATCTTCACATCAAACCTAGACAGAAGCATTCTCAGAATGTTTCCTGTGATGACTGCATTCAACTCACAGAGGTGAACAATCCTGCTGATGGAGCAGTTTTGAAACTCTCTTTCTTTGGATTCTGCAAGTGGATATGTGGACCTCTGTGAAGATTTCGTTGGAAACGGGTTCATCTTCACAGAAAAACTAAACAGAAGCATTCTCAGAAACTGCTTTGTGATGTTTGTGTTCCACTTCAGGAATTGAACTTTCCTCTTGACAGAGCAGCTCTGAAACCCTCTTATTCTAGAATCTGCAAGTGGACATTTGGAGGGCTTTGAGGCCTGTGGTGGAAAAGGAAAATCTTCACATAAAAACTAGATGGAAGCATTCTCAGAAACTACTTTGTGATGATTGCATTCGACTCACAGAGTTGAACATTCCTATAGATAGAGCAGGTTGTAAACAATCTTTTTGTAGAATCTGCGATTGGAGATTTGGACTGCTTTGAGGCCTACTGTAGTAAAGGAAATAACTTCATCTAAAAACCAAATGGAAGCATTCACAGACAATTCTTAGTGATCATTGGATTGAACTAACAGAGCTGAACATTCCTTTAGATGGAGCAGTTTCCAAACACACTTTCTGTAGAATCTGCAAGTGGATATTTGGACTTCTCTGAGGATTTCGTTGGAAACGGGATAAACTTCCCAGAACTACACGGAAGCATTGTGAGAAACTTCTTTGTGATGTTTGCATTCAACTCACAGAGTTGAACCTTGCTTTCATAGTTCAGCTTTCAAACACTCTTTTTGTAGAATCTGCAAGTGGATATTTGGACCACTTTGTGGCCTTCCTTCGAAACGGGTATATCTTCACATCAAACCTAGACAGAAGCATTCTCAGAATGTTTCCTGTGATGACTGCATTCAACTCACAGAGGTGAACAATACTGCTGATGGAGCAGTTTTGAAACTCTCTTTCTTTGGATTCTGCAAGTGGATATGTGGACCTCTGTGAAGATTTCGTTGGAAACGGGTTCATCTTCACAGAAAAACTAAACAGAAGCATTCTCAGAAACTGCTTTGTGATGTTTGTGTTCCACTTCAGGAATTGAACTTTCCTCTTGATAGAGCAGCTCTGAAAACCTCTTTTTCTAGAATCTGCAAGTGTACATTTGGAGGGTTTTGGGTAATGTGGTGGAAAAGGAAATCTTCACATAAAAACTAGATGGAAGCATTCTCAGAAACTACTTTGTGATGATTGCATTCGACTCACAGAGTTGAACATTCCTATAGATAGAGCAGGTTGTAAACAATGTTTTTGTAGAATCTGCGATTGGAGATTTGGATTGCTTTGAGGCCTACTGTAGTAAAGGAAATAACTTCATCTAAAAACCAAACGGAAGCATTCACAGACAATTCTTAGTGATCATTGCATTGAACTAACAGAGCTGAACATTCCTTTAGATGGCGCAGTTTCCAAACACACTTTCTGTAGAATCTGCAAGTGGATATTTGGACCTCTCTGAGGATTTCGTTGGAAACGGGATAAACTTCCCAGAACTTCACGGAAGCATTCTGAGAAACTTCTTTGTGATGTTTGCATTCAACTCACAGAGTTGAACCTTGCTTTCATAGTTCAGCTTTCAAACACTCTTTTTGTAGAATCTGCAAGTGGATATTTGGACCACTTTGTGGCCTTCCTTCGAAACGGGTATATCTTCACATCAAACCTAGACAGAAGCATTCTCAGAATGTTTCCTGTGATGACTGCATTCAACTCACAGAGGTGAACAATCCTGCTGATGGAGCAGTTTTGAAACTCTCCTTCTTTGGATTCTGCAAGTGGATATGTGGACCTCTGTGAAGATTTCGTTGGAAACGGGTTCATCTTCACAGAAAAACTAAACAGAAGCATTCTCAGAAACTGCTTTGTGATGTTTGTGTTCCACTTCAGGAATTGAACTTTCCTCTTGACAGAGCAGCTCTAAAACCCTCTTATTCTAGAATCTGCAAGTGGACATTTGGAGGGCTTTGAGGCCTGTGGTGGAAAAGGAAAATCTTCACATAAAAACTAGATGGAAGCATTCTCAGAAACTACTTTGTGATGATTGCATTCGACTCACAGAGTTGAACATTCCTATAGATAGAGCAGGTTGTAAACAATCTTTTTGTAGAATCTGCGATTGGAGATTTGGACTGCTTTGAGGCCTACTGTAGTAAAGGAAATAACTTCATCTAAAAACCAAACGGAAGCATTCACAGACAATTCTTAGTGATCATTGCATTGAACTAACAGAGCTGAACATTCCTTTAGATGGAGCAGTTTCCAAACACACTTTCTGTAGAATCTGAAAGTGGATATTTGGACTTCTCTGAGGATTTCGTTGGAAACGGGATAAACTTCTCAGAACTACACGGAAGCATTGTGAGAAACTTCTTTGTAATGTTTGCATTCAACTCACAGAGTTGAACCTTGCTTTCATAGTTCAGCTTTCAAACACTCTTTTTGTAGAATCTGCAAGTGGATATTTGGACCACTTTGTGGCCTTCCTTCGAAACGGGTATATCTTCACATCAAACCTAGACAGAAGCATTCTCAGAATGTTTCCTGTGATGACTGCATTCAACTCACAGAGGTGAACAATCCTGCTGATGGAGCAGTTTTGAAACTCTCTTTCTTTGGATTCTGCAAGTGGATATGTGGACCTCTGTGAAGATTTCGTTGGAAACGGGTTCATCTTCACAGAAAAACTAAACAGAAGCATTCTCAGAAACTGCTTTGTGATTTTTGTGTTCCACTTCAGGAATTGAACTTTCCTCTTGACAGAGCAGCTCTGAAACCCTCTTATTCTAGAATCTGCAAGTGGACATTTGGAGGGCTTTGAGGCCAGTGGTGGAAAAGGAAAATCTTCACATAAAAACTAGATGGAAGCATTCTCAGAAACTACTTTGTGATGATTGCATTCGACTCACAGAGTTGAACATTCCTATAGATAGAGCAGGTTGTAAACAATCTTTTTGTAGAATCTGCGATTGGAGATTTGGACTGCTTTGAGGCCTACTGTAGTAAAGGAAATTACTTCATCTAAAAACCAAACGGAAGCATTCACAGACAATTCTTAGTGATCATTGCATTGAACTAACAGAGCTGAACATTCCTTTAGATGGCGCAGTTTCCAAACACACTTTCTGTAGAATCTGCAAGTGGATATTTGGACTTCTCTGAGGATTTCGTTGGAAACGGGATAAACTTCCCAGAACTACACGGAAGCATTGTGAGAAACTTCTTTGTGATGTTTGCATTCAACTCACAGAGTTGAACCTTGCTTTCATAGTTCAGCTTTCAAACACTCTTTTTGTAGAATCTGCAAGTGGATATTTGGACCACTTTGTGGCCTTCCTTCGAAACGGGTATATCTTCACATCAAACCTAGACAGAAGCATTCTCAGAATGTTTCCTGTGATGACTGCATTCAACTCACAGAGGTGAACAATCCTGCTGATGGAGCTGTTTTGAAACTCTCTTTCTTTGGATTCTGCAAGTGGATATGTGGACCTCTGTGCAGATTTCGTTGGAAACGGGTTCATCTTCACAGAAAAACTAAACAGGAGCATTCTCAGAAACTGCTTTGTGATGTTTGTGTTCCACTTCAGGAATTGAACTTTCCTCTTGACAGAGCAGCTCTGAAACCCTCTTATTCTAGAAACTGCAAGTGGACATTTGGAGGGCTTTGAGGCCTGTGGTGGAAAAGGAAAATCTTCACATAAAAATTAGATGGAAGCATTCTCAGAAACTACTTTGTGATGATTGCATTCGACTCACAGAGTTGAACATTCCTATAGATAGAGCAGGTTGTAAACAATGTTTTTGTAGAATCTGCGATTGGAGATTTGGACTGCTTTGAGGCCTACTGTAGTAAAGGAAATAACTTCATCTAAAAACCAAACGGAAGCATTCACAGACAATTCTTAGTGATCATTGGATTGAACTAACAGAGCTAAACATTCCTTTAGATGGAGCAGTTTCCAAACACACTTTCTGTAGAATCTGCAAGTGGATATTTGGACCTCTCTGAGGATTTCGTTGGAAACGGGATAAACTTCCCAGAACTACACGGAAGCATTGTGAGAAACTTCTTTGTGATGTTTGCATTCAACTCACAGAGTTGAACCTTGCTTTCATAGTTCAGCTTTCAAACACTCTTTTTGTAGAATCTGCAAGTGGATATTTGGACCACTTTGTGGCCTTCCTTCGAAACGGGTATATCTTCACATCAAACCTAGACAGAAGCATTCTCAGAATGTTTCCTGTGATGACTGCATTCAACTCACAGAGGTGAACAATCCTGCTGATGGAGCAGTTTTGAAACTCTCTTTCTTTGGATTCTGCAAGTGGATATGTGGACCTCTGTGAAGATTTCGTTGGAAACGGGTTCATCTTCACAGAAAAACTAAACAGGAGCATTCTCAGAAACTGCTTTGTGATGTTTGTGTTCCACTTCAGGAATTGAACTTTCCTCTTGACAGAGCAGCTCTGAAACCCTCTTATTCTAGAATCTGCAAGTGGACATTTGGAGGGCTTTGAGGCCTGTGGTGGAAAAGGAAAATCTTCACATAAAAACTAGATGGAAGCATTCTCAGAAACTACTTTGTGATGATTGCATTCGACTCACAGAGTTGAACATTCCTATAGATAGAGCAGGTTGTAAACAATCTTTTTGTAGAATCTGCGATTGGAGATTTGGACTGCTTTGAGGCCTACTGTAGTAAAGGATATAACTTCATCTAAAAACCAAACGGAAGCATTCACAGACAATTCTTAGTGATCATTGCATTGAACTAACAGAGCTGAACATTCCTTTAGATGGAGCAGTTTCCAAACACACTTTCTGTAGAATCTGCAAGTGGATATTTGGACTTCTCTGAGGATTTCGTTGGAAACGGGATAAACTTCCCAGAACTACACGGAAGCATTCTGAGAAACTTCTTTGTGATGGTTGCATTCAACTCACAGAGTTGAACCTTGCTTTCATAGTTCAGCTTTCAAACACTCTTTTCGTAGAATCTGCAAGTGGATATTTGGACCACTTTGTGGCCTTCCTTCGAAACGGGTATATCTTCACATCAAACCTAGACAGAAGCATTTTGAGAATGTTTCCTGTGATGACTGCATTCAACTCACAGAGGTGAACAATCCTGCTGATGGAGCAGTTTTGAAACTCTCTTTCTTTGGATTCTGCAAGTGGATATGTGGACCTCTGTGAAGATTTCGTTGGAAACGGGTTCATCTTCACAGAAAAACTAAACAGAAGCATTCTCAGAAACTGCTTTGTGATGTTTGTGTTCCACTTCAGGAATTGAACTTTCCTCTCAACAGAGCAGCTCTGAAACCCTCTTTTTCTAGAATCTGCAAGTGGACATTTGGAGGGCTTTGAGGCCTGTGGTGGAAAAGGAAAATCTTAACATAAAAACTAGATGGAAGCATTCTCAGAAACTACTTTGTGATGACTGCATTCGACTCACAGGGTTGAACATTCCTGTAGATAGAGCAGGATGTAAACAATCTTTTTGTAGAATATGCGATTGGAGATTTGGACTGCTTTGAGGCCTACTGTAGTAAAGGAAATAACTTCATCTAAAAACCAAACGGAAGCATTCACAGACAATTCTTAGTGATCATTGCATTGAACTAACAGAGCTGAACATTCCTTTAGATGGAGCAGTTTCCAAACCCACTTTCTGTAGAATCTGCAAGTGGATATTTGGACTTCTCTGAGGATTTCGTTGGAAACGGGATAAACTTCACAGAACTACACGGAAGCATTGTGAGAAACTTCTTTGTGATGTTTGCATTCAACTCACAGAGTTGAACCTTGCTTTCATAGTTCAGCTTTCAAACACTCTTTTTGTAGAATCTGCAAGTGGATATTTGGACCTCTTTGTGGCCTTCCTTCGAAACAGGTATATCTTCACATCAAACCTAGACAGAAGCATTCTCAGAATGTTTCCTGTGATGACTGCATTCAACTCACAGAGGTGAACAATACTGTTGATGGAGCACTTTTGAAACTCTCTTTCTTTGGATTCTGCAAGTTGATATGTGGACCTCTGTGAAGATTTCGTTGGAAACGGGTTCATCTTCACAGAAAAACTAAACAGAAGCATTCTCAGGAAACTGCTTTGTGATGTTTGTGTTCCACTTCAAGAATTGAACTTTCCTCTTGACAGAGCAGCTCTGAAACCCTCTTTTTCTAGAATCTGCAAGTGGACATTTGGAGGGCTTTGAGGCCTGTGGTGGAAAAGGAAAATCTTCACATAAAAACTTGATGGAAGCATTCTCAGAAACTACTTTGTGATGATTGCATTCGACTCACAGAGTTGAACATTCCTATAGATAGAGCAGGTTGTAAACAATCTTTTTGTAGAATCTGCGATTGGAGATTTGGACTGCTTTGAGGCCTACTGTAGTAAAGGAAATAACTTCATCTAAAAACCAAACGGAAGCATTCACAGACAATTCTTAGTGATCATTGGATTGAACTAACAGAGCTGAACATTCCTTTAGATGGAGCAGTTTCCAAACCCACTTTCTGTAGAATCTGCAAGTGGATATTTGGACTTCTCTGAGGATTTCGTTGGAAACGGGATAAACTTCCCAGAACTACACGGAAGCATTGTGCGAAACTTCTTTGTGATGTTTGCATTCAACTCACAGAGTTGAACCTTGGTTTCATAGTTCAGCTTTCAAACACTCTTTTTGTAGAATCTGCAAGTGGATATTTGGACCACTTTGTGGCCTTCCTTCGAAACGGGTATATCTTCACATCAAACCTAGACAGAAGCATTCTCAGAATGTTTCCTGTGATGACTGCATTCAACTCACAGAGGTGAACAATCCTGCTGATGGAGCAGTTTTGAAACTCTCTTTCTTTGGATTCTGCAAGTGGATATGTGGACCTCTGTGAAGATTTCGTTGGAAACGGGTTCATCTTCACAGAAAAACTAAACAGGAGCATTCTCAGAAACTGCTTTGTTATGTTTGTTTTCCACTTCAAGAATTGAACTTTCCTCTTGACAGAGCAGCTCTGAAACCCTCTTATTCTAGAATCTGCAAGTGGACATTTGGAGGGCTTTGAGGCCTGTGGTGGAAAAGGAAAATCTTCACATAAAAATTAGATGGAAGCATTCTCAGAAACTACTTTGTGATGATTGCATTCGACTCACAGAGTTGAACATTCCTATAGATAGAGCAGGTTGTAAACAATGTTTTTGTAGAATCTGCGATTGGAGATTTGGACTGCTTTGAGGCCTACTGTAGTAAAGGAAATAACTTCATCTAAAAACCAAACGGAAGCATTCACAGACAATTCTTAGTGATCATTGGATTGAACTAACAGAGCTGAACATTCCTTTAGATGGAGCAGATTCCAAACACACTTTCTGTAGAATCTGCAAGTGGATATTTGGACCTCTCTGAGGATTTCTTTGGAAACGGGATAAACTTCCCAGAACTACACGGAAGCATGCTGAGAAACTTCTTTGTGATGTTTGCATTCAACTCACAGAGTTGAACCTTGCTTTCATAGTTCAGCTTTCAAACACTCTTTTTGTAGAATCTGCAAGTGGATATTTGGACCACTTTGTGGCCTTCCTTCGAAACGGGTATATCTTCACATCAAACCTAGACAGAAGCATTCTCAGAATGTTTCCTGTGATGACTGCATTCCACTCACAGAGGTGAACAATCCTGTTGATGGAGCAGTTTTGAAACTCTCTTTCTTTGGATTCTGCAAGTGGATATGTGGACCTCTGTGAAGATATCGTCGGAAACGGGTTCATCTTCACAGAAAAACTAAACAGGAGCATTCTCAGAAACTGCTTTGTGATGTTTGTGTTCCACTTCAAGAATGGAACTTTCCTCTTGACAGAGCAGCTCTGAAACCCTCTTTTTCTAGAATCTGCAAGTGGACATTTGGAGGGCTTTGAGGCCTGTGGTGGAAAAGGAAAATCTTCACATAAAAACTAGATGGAAGCATTCTCAGAAACTACTTTGTGATGATT
This sequence comes from Homo sapiens, assembly GCF_000001405.40. NCBI lineage: Eukaryota > Metazoa > Chordata > Mammalia > Primates > Hominidae > Homo > Homo sapiens. Next base: position 52,904,985 of record NC_000011.10, read on the forward strand.
GCATTCGACTCACAGAGTTGAATATTCCTATAGATAGAGCAGGTTGTAAACAATCTTTTTGTAGAATCTGCGATTGGAGATTTGGACTGCTTTGAGGCCTATTGTAGTAAAGGAAATAACTTCATCTAAAAACCAAACGGAAGCATTCACAGACAATTCTTAGTGATCATTGGATTGAACTAACAGAGCTGAACATTCCTTTAGATGGAGCAGTTTCCAAACACACTTTCTGTAGAATCTGCAAGTGGATATTTGGACTTCTCTGAGGATTTCGTTGGAAACGGGATAAACTTCCCAGAACTACACGGAAGCATTGTGAGAAACTTCTTTGTGGTGTTTGCATTCAACTCACAGAGTTGAACCTTGCTTTCATAGTTCAGCTTTCAAACACTCATTTTCTGGAATCTGCAAGTGGATATTTGGACCACTTTGTGGCCTTCCTTCGAAACGGGTATATCTTCACATCAAACCTAGACAGAAGCATTCTCAGAATGTTTCCTGTGATGACTGCATTCAACTCACAGAGGTGAACAATCCTGCTGATGGAGCAGTTTTGAAACTCTCTTTCTTTGGATTCTGCAAGTGGATATGTGGACCTCTGTGAAGATTTCGTTGGAAACGGGTTCATCTTCACAGAAAAACTAAACAGGAGCATTCTCAGAAACTACTTTGTGATGTTTGTGTTCCACTTCAAGAATTGAACTTTCATCTTGACAGAGCAGCTCTGCAACCCTCTTTTTCTAGAATCTGCAAGTGGACATTTGGAGGGCTTTGAGGCCTGTGGTGGAAAAGGAAAATCTTCACATAAAAACTAGATGGAAGCATTCTCAGAAGCTACTCTGTGATGATTGCATTCGACTCACAGAGTTGAACATTCCTATAGATAGAGCAGGTTGTAAACAATCTTTTTGTAGAATCTGCGATTGGAGATTTGGACTGCTTTGAGGCCTACTGTAGTAAAGGAAATAACTTCATCTAAAAACCAAACGGAAGCATTCACAGACAATTCTTAGTGATCATTGCATTGAACTAACAGAGCTGAACATTCCTTTAGATGGCGCAGTTTCCAAACACACTTTCTGTAGAATCTGCAAGTGGATATTTGGACTTCTCTGAGGATTTCGTTGGAAACGGGATAAACTTCCCAGAACTACACGGAAGCATTCTGAGAAACTTCTTTGTGATGTTTGCATTCAACTCACAGAGTAGAACCTTGCTTTCATAGTTCAGCTTTGAAACACTCTTTTTGTAGAATCTGCAAGTGGATATTTGGACCACTTTGTGGCCTTCCTTCGAAACGGGTATATCTTCACATCAAACCTAGACAGAAGCATTCTCAGAATGTTTCCTGTGATGACTGCATTCAACTCACAGAGGTGAACAATCCTGCTGATGGAGCAGTTTTGAAACTCTCTTTCTTTGGATTCTGCAAGTGGATATGTGGACCTCTGTGAAGATTTCGTTGGAAACGGGTTCATCTTCACAGAAAAACTAAACAGAAGCATTCTCAGAAACTGTTTTGTGATGTTTGTGTTCCACTTCAGGAATTGAACTTTCCTCTTGACAGAGCAGCTCTGAAACCCTCTTATTCTAGAATCTGCAAGTGGACATTTGAAGGGCTTTGAGGCCTGTGGTGGAAAAGGAAAATCTTCACATAAAAACTAGATGAAAGCATTCTCAGAAACTACTTTGTGATGATTGCATTCGACTCACAGAGTTGAACATTCCTATAGATAGAGCAGGTTGTAAACAATGTTTTTGTAGAATCTGCGATTGGAGATTTGGATTGCTTTGAGGCCTACTGTAGTAAAGGAAATAACTTCATCTAAAAACCAAACGGAAGCATTCACAGACAATTCTTAGTGATCATTGGATTGAACTAACAGAGCTGAACATTCCTTTAGATGGAGCAGTTTCCAAACCCACTTTCTGTAGAATCTGCAAGTGGATATTTGGACTTCTCTGAGAATTTCGTTGGAAACGGGATAAACTTCCCAGAACTACACGGAAGCATTGTGAGAAACTTCTTTGTGATGTTTGCATTCAACTCACAGAGTTGAACCTTGCTTTCATAGTTCAGCTTTCAAACACTCTTTTTGTAGAATCTGCAAGTGGATATTTGGACCACTTTGTGGCCTTCCTTCGAAACGGGTATATCTTCACATCAAACCTAGACAGAAGCATTCTCAGAATGTTTCCTGTGATGACTGCATTCAACTCACAGAGGTGAACAATCCTGCTGATGGAGCAGTTTTGAAACTCCCTTTCTTTGGATTCTGCAAGTGGATATGTGGACCTCTGTGAAGATTTCGTTGGAAACGGGTTCATCTTCACAGAAAAACTAAACAGAAGCATTCTCAGAAACTGCTTTGTGATGTTTGTGTTCCACTTCAAGAATTGAACTTTCCTCTTGACAGAGCAGCTCTGAAACCCTCTTTTTCTAGAATCTGCAAGTGGACATTTGGAGGGCTTTGAGGCCTGTGGTGGAAAAGGAAAATCTTCACATAAAACTAGATGGAAGCATTCTCAGAAACTTCTTTGTGATGATTGCATTCGACTCACAGAGTTGAACATTCCTATAGATAGAGCAGGTTGTAAACAATCTTTTTGTAGAATCTGCGATTGGAGATTTGGACTGCTTTGAGGCCTACTGTAGTAAAGGAAATAACTTCATCTAAAAACCAAACGGAAGCATTCACAGACAATTCTTAGTGATCATTGGATTGAACTAACAGAGCTGAACATTCCTTTAGATGGAGCAGTTTCCAAACCCACTTTCTGTAGAATCTGCAAGTGGATATTTGGACTTCTCTGAGGATTTCGTTGGAAACGGGATAAACTTCCCAGAACTACACGGAAGCATTCTGAGAAACTTCTTTTTGATGTTTGCATTCAACTCACAGAGTTGAACCTTGCTTTCATAGTTCAGCTTTCAAACACTCTTTTTGTAGAATCTGCAAGTGGATATTTGGACCACTTTGTGGCCTTCCTTCGAAACGGGTATATCTTCACATCAAACCTAGACAGAAGCATTCTCAGAATGTTTCCTGTGATGACTGCATTCAACTCACAGAGGTGAACAATCCTGCTGATGGAGGAGTTTTGAAACTCTCTTTCTTTGGATTCTGCAAGTGGATATGTGGACCTCTGTGAAGATTTCGTTGGAAACGGGTTCATCTTCACAGAAAAACTAAACAGAAGCATTCTCAGAAACTGCTTTGTGATGTTTGTGTTCCACTTCAGGAATTGAACTTTCCTCTTGACAGAGCAGCTCTGAAACCCTCTTATTCTAGAATCTGCAAGTGGACATTTGGAGGGCTTTGAGGCCTGTGGTGGAAAAGGAAAATCTTCACATAAAAACTAGATGGAAGCATTCTCAGAAACTACTTTGTGATGATTGCATTCGACTCACAGAGTTGAACATTCCTATAGATAGAGCAGGTTGTAAACAATCTTTTTGTAGAATCTGCGATTGGAGATTTGGACTGCTTTGAGGCCTACTGTAGTAAAGGAAATAACTTCATCTAAAAACCAAACGGAACCATTCACAGACAATTCTTAGTGATCATTGCATTGAACTAACAGAGCTGAACATTCCTTTAGATGGCGCAGTTTCCAAACACACTTTCTGTAGAATCTGCAAGTGGATATTTGGACTTCTCTGAGGATTTCGTTGGAAACAGGATAAACTTCCCAGAACTACACGGAAGCATTCTGAGAAACTTCTTTGTGATGTTTGCATTCAACTCACAGAGTTGAACCTTGCTTTCATAGTTCAGCTTTCAAACACTCTTTTTGTAGAATCTGCAAGTGGATATTTGGACCACTTTGTGGCCTTCCTTCGAAACGGGTATATCTTCACATCAAACCTAGACAGAAGCATTCTCAGAATGTTTCCTGTGATGACTGCATTCAACTCACAGAGGTGAACAATCCTGTTGATGGAGCAGTTTTGAAACTCTCTTTCTTTGGATTCTGCAAGTGGATATGTGGACCTCTGTGAAGATTTCGTTGGAAACGGGTTCATCTTCACAGAAAAACTAAACAGGAGCATTCTCAGAAACTGCTTTGTGATGTTTGTGTTCCACTTCAAGAATTGAAATTTCCTCTTGACAGAGCAGCTCTGAAACCCTCTTTTTCTAGAATCTGCAAGTGGACATTTGGAGGGATTTGAGGCCTGTGGTGGAAAAGGAAAAATCTTCACATAAAAACTAGATGGAAGCATTCTCAGAAACTACTTTGTGATGATTGCATTCGACTCACAGAGTTGAACATTCCTATAGATAGAGCAGGTTGTAAACAATCTTTTTGTAGAATCTGCGATTGGAGATTTGGACTGCTTTGAGGCCTACTGTAGTAAAGGAAATAACTTCATCTAAAAACCAAACGGAAGCATTCACAGACAATTCTTAGTGATCATTGGATTGAACTAACAGAGCTGAACATTCCTTTAGATGGAGCAGTTTCCAAACACACTTTCTGTAGAATCTGCAAGTGGATATTTGGACTTCTCTGAGGATTTCGTTGGAAACGGGATAAACTTCCCAGAACTACACGGAAGCATTGTGAGAAACTTCTTTGTGATGTTTGCATTCAACTCACAGAGTTGAACCTTGCTTTCATAGTTCAGCTTTCAAACACTCTTTTTGTAGAATCTGCAAGTGGATATTTGGACCACTTTGTGGCCTTCCTTCGAAACGGGTATATCTTCACATCAAACCTAGACAGAAGCATTCTCAGAATGTTTCCTGTGATGACTGCATTCAACTCACAGAGGTGAACAATCCTGCTGATGGAGCAGTTTTGAAACTCTACTTCTTTGGATTCTGCAAGTGGATATGTGGACCTCTGTGAAGATTTCGTTGGAAACGGGTTCATCTTCACAGAAAAACTAAACAGAAGCATTCTCAGAAACTGCTTTGTGATGTTTGTGTTCCACTTCAAGAATTGAACTTTCCTCTTGACAGAGCAGCTCTGAAACCCTCTTTTTCTAGAATCTGCAAGTGGACATTTGGAGGGCTTTGAGGCCTGTGGTGGAAAAGGAAAATCTTCACATAAAAACTAGATGGAAGCATTCTCAGAAACTACTTTGTGATGATTGCATTCGACTCACAGAGTTGAACATTCCTATAGATAGAGCAGGTTGTAAACAATGTTTTTGTAGAATCTGCGATTGGAGATTTGGACTGCTTTGAGGCCTACTGTAGTAAAGGAAATAACTTCATCTAAAAACCAAACGGAAGCATTCACAGACAATTCTTAGTGATCATTGGATTGAACTAACAGAGCTGAACATTCCTTTAGATGGCGCAGTTTCCAAACACACTTTCTGTAGAATCTGCAAGTGGATATTTGGACCTCTCTGAGGATTTCGTTGGAAACGGGATAAACTTCCCAGAACTACACGGAAGCATTCTGAGAAACTTCTTTGTGATGTTTGCATTCAACTCACAGAGTTGAACCTTGCTTTCATAGTTCAGCTTTCAAACACTCTTTTTGTAGAATCTGCAAGTGGATATTTGGACCACTTTGTGGCCTTCCTTCGAAACGGGTATATCTTCACATCAAACCTAGACAGAAGCATTCTCAGAATGTTTCCTGTGATGACTGCATTCAACTCACAGAGGTGAACAATCCTGCTGATGGAGCAGTTTTGAAACTCTCTTTCTTTGGATTCTGCAAGTGGATATGTGGACCTCTGTGAAGATTTCGTTGGAAACGGGTTCATCTTCACAGAAAAACTAAACAGGAGCATTCTCAGAAACTGCTTTGTGATGTTTGTGTTCCACTTCAAGAATTGACCTTTCCTCTTGACAGAGCAGCTCTGAAACCCTCTTTTTCTAGAATCTGCAAGTGGACATTTGGAGGGCTTTGAGGCCTGTGGTGGAAAAGGAAAATCTTCACATAAAAACTAGAAGGAAGCATTCTCAGAAACTACTTTGTGATGATTGCATTCGACTCACAGAGTTGAACATTCCTATAGGTAGAGCAGGTTGTAAACAATCTTTTTGTAGAATCTGCGATTGGAGATTTGGACTGCTTTGAGGCCTACTGTAGTAAAGGAAATAACTTCATCTAAAAACCAAACGGAAGCATTCACAGACAATTCTTAGTGATCATTGCATTGAACTAACAGAGCTGAACATTCCTTTATATGGCGCAGTTTCCAAACCCACTTTCTGTAGAATCTGCAAGTGGATATTTGGACCTCTCTGAGGATATCTTTGGAAACGGGATAAACTTCCCAGAACTACACGGAAGCATTCTGAGAAACTTCTTTGTGATGTTTGCATTCAACTCACAGAGTTGAACCTTGCTTTCATGGTTCAGCTTTCAAATACTCCTTTTGTAGAATCTGCAAGTGGATATTTGGACCACTTTGTGGCCTTCCTTCGAAACGGGTATATCTTCACATCAAACCTAGACAGAAGCATTCTCAGAATGTTTCCTGTGATGACTGCATTCAACTCACAGAGGTGAACAATCCTGTTGATGGAGCAGTTTTGAAACTCTCTTTCTTTGGATTCTGCAAGTGGATATGTGGACCTCTGTGAAGATTTCGTTGGAAACGGGTTCATCTTCACAGAAAAACTAAACAGCAGCATTCTCAGAAACTGCTTTGTGATGTTTGTGTTCCACTTCAGGAATTGAACTTTCCTCTTGACAGAGCAGCTCTAAAACCCTCTTATTCTAGAATCTGCAAGTGGACATTTGGAGGGCTTTGAGGCCTGTGGTGGAAAAGGAAAATCTTCACATAAAAACTAGATGGAAGCATTCTCCAGAAACTACTTTGTGATGATTGCATTCGACTCACAGAGTTGAGCATTCCTATAGATAGAGCAGGTTGTAAACAATCTTTTTGTAGAATCTGCGATTGGAGATTTGGACTGCTTTGAGGCCTACTGTAGTAAAGGAAATAACTTCATCTAAAAACCAAACGGAAGCATTCACAGAAAATTCTTAGTGATCATTGGATTGAACTAACAGAGCTGAACATTCCTTTGGATGGAGCAGTTTCCAAACACACTTTCTGTAGAATCTGCAAGTGGATATTTGGACTTCTCTGAGGATTTCGTTGGAAACGGGATAAACTTCCCAGAACTACACGGAAAGCATTGTGAGAAACTTCTTTGTGATGTTTGCATTCAACTCACAGAGTTGAACCTTGCTTTCATAGTTCAGCTTTCAAACACTCTTTTTGTAGAATCTGCAAGTGGATATTTGGACCACTTTGTGGCCTTCCTTTGAAAAGGGTGTATCTTCACATCAAACCTAGACAGAAGCATTCTCAGAATGTTTCCTGTGATGACTGCATTCAACTCACAGAGGTGAACAATCCTGTTGATGGAGCAGTTTTGAAACTCTCTTTCTTTGGATTCTGCAAGTGGATATGTGGACCTCTGTGAAGATTTCGTTGGAAACGGGTTCATCTTCACAGAAAAACTAAACAGAAGCATTCTCAGAAACTGCTTTGTGATGTTTGTGTTCCACTTCAGGAATTGAAATTTCCTCTTGAGAGAGCAGCTCTGAAACCCTCTTTTTCTAGAATCTGCAAGTGGACATTTGGAGGGCTTTGAGGCCTGTGGTGGAAAAGGAAACTCTTCACATAAAAACTAGACGGAAGCATTCTCAGAAACTACTTTGTGATGATTGCATTCCACTCACAGAGTTGAACATTCCTATAGATAGAGCAGGTTGTAAACAATCTTTTTGTAGAATCTGCGATTGGAGATTTGGACTGCTTTGAGGCCTACTGTAGTAAAGGAAATAACTTCATCTAAAAACCAAACGGAAGCATTCACAGACAATTCTTAGTGATCATTGGATTGAACTAACAGAGCTGAACATTCCTTTAGATGGAGCAGTTTCCAAACACACTTTCTGTAGATTCTGCAAGTGGATATTTGGACCTCTCTGAGGATTTCGTTGGAAAAGGGATAAACTTCCCAGAACTACACGGAAGCATGCTGAGAAACTTCTTTGTGATGTTTGCATTCCACTCACAGAGTTGAACCTTGCTTTCATAGTTCAGCTTTCAAACACTCTTTTTGTAGAATCTGCAAGTGGATATTTGGACCACTTTGTGGCCTTCCTTCGAAACGGGTATATCTTCACATCAAACCTAGACAGAAGCATTCTCAGAATGTTTCCTGTGATGACTGCATTCAACTCACAGAGGTGAACAATCCTGCTGATGGAGCAGTTTTGAAACTCTCTTTCTTTGGATTCTGCAAGTGGATATGTGGACCTCTGTGAAGATTTCGTTGGAAACGGGTTCATCTTCACAGAAAAACTAAACAGAAGCATTCTCGGAAACTGCTTTGTGATGTTTGTGTTCCACTTCAGGAATTGAACTTCCTCTTGACAGAGCAGCTCTGCAACCCTCTTATTCTAGAATCTGCAAGTGGACATTTGGAGGGCTTTGAGGCCTGTGGTGGAAAAGGAAAATCTTCACATAAAAACTAGATGGAAGCATTCTCAGAAACTACTTTGTGATGATTGCATTCGACTCACAGAGTTGAACATTCCTATAGATAGAGCAGGTTGTAAACAATCTTTTTGTAGAATCTGCGATTGGAGATTTGGACTGCTTTGAGGCCTACTGCAGTAAAGGAAATAACTTCATCTAAAAACCAAACGGAAGCATTCACAGACAATTCTTAGTGATCATTGCATTGAACTAACAGAGCTGAACATTCCTTTAGATGGCGCAGTTTCCAAACACACTTTCTGTAGAATCTGCAAGTGGATATTTGGACCTCTCTGAGGATTTCGTTGGAAACGGGATAAACTTCCCAGAACTACACGGAAGCATTCTGAGAAACTTCTTTGTGATGTTTGCATTCAACTCACAGAGTTGAACCTTGCTTTCATAGTTCAGCTTTCAAACACACTTTTTGTAGAATCTGCAAGTGGATATTTGGACCACTTTGTGGCCTTCCTTCGAAACGGGTATATCTTCACATCAAACCTAGACAGAAGCATTCTCAGAATGTTTCCTGTGATGACTGCATTCAACTCACAGATGTGAACAATCCTGTTGATGGAGCAGTTTTGAAACTCTCTTTCTTTGGATTCTGCAAGTGGATATGTGGACCTCCGTGAAGATTTCGTTGGAAACGGGTTCATCTTCACAGAAAAACTAAACAGGAGCATTCTCAGAAACTGCTTTGTGATGTTTGTGTTCCACTTCAAGAATTGAACTTTCCTCTTGACAGAGCAGCTCTGAAACCCTCTTTTTCTAGAATCTGCAAGTGGACATTTGGAGGGCTTTGAGGCCTGTGGTGGAAAAGGAAAATCTTCACATAAAAACTAGATGGAAGCATTCTCAGAAACTACTTTGTGATGATTGCATTCGACTCACAGAGTTGAACATTCCTATAGATAGAGCAGGTTGTAAACAATCTTTTTGTAGAATCTTCGATTGGAGATTTGGACTGCTTTGAGGCCTACTGTAGTAAAGGAAATAACTTCATCTAAAAACCAAACGGAAGCATTCACAGACAATTCTTAGTGATCATTGCATTGAACTAACAGAGCTGAACATTCCTTTAGATGGCGCAGTTTCCAAACACACTTTCTGTAGAATCTGCAAGTGGATATTTGGACCTCTCTGAGGATTTCGTTGGAAAAGGGATAAACTTCCCAGAACTACACGGAAGCATTCTGAGAAACTTCTTTGGATGTTTGCATTCAACTCACAGAGTTGAACCTTGCTTTCATAGTTCAGCTTTCAAACACTCTTTTTGTAGAATCTGCAAGTGGATATTTGGACCACTTTGTGGCCTTCCTTCGAAACTGGTAAATCTTCACATCAAACCTAGACAGAAGCATTCTCAGAATGTTTCCTGTGATGACTGCATTCAACTCACAGAGGTGAACAATCCTGCTGATGGAGCAGTTTTGAAACTCTCTTTCTTTGGATTCTGCAAGTGGATATGTGGACCTCTGTGAAGATTTCGTTGGAAACGGGTTCATCTTCACAGAAAAACTAAACAGGAGCATTCTCAGAAACTGCTTTGTGATGTTTGTGTTCCACTTCAAGAATTGAACTTTCCTCTTGACAGAGCAGCTCTGAAACCCTCTTTTTCTAGAATCTGCAAGTGGACATTTGGAGGGCTTTGAGGCCTGTGGTGGAAAAGGAAAATCTTCACATAAAAACTGTATGGAAGCATTCTCAGAAACTACTGTGTGATGATTGCATTCGACTCACAGAGTTGAACATTCCTATAGATAGAGCAGGTTGAAAACAATCTTTTTGTAGAATCTGCGATTGGAGATTTGGACTGCTTTGAGGCCTACTGTAGTAAAGGAAATAACTTCATCTAAAAACCAAACGGAAGCATTCACAGACAATTCTTAGTGATCATTGCATTGAACTAACAGAGCTGAACATTCCTTTAGATGGAGCAGTTTCCAAACACACTTTCTGTAGAATGTGCAAGTGGATATTTGGACTTCTCTGAGGATTTCGTTGGAAACGGGATAAACTTCCCAGAACTACACGGAAGCATTCTGAGAAACTTCTTTGTGATGTTTGCATTCAACTCACAGAGTTGAACCTTGCTTTCATAGTTCAGCTTTCAAACACTCTTTTTGTAGAATCTGCAAGTGGATATTTGGACCACTTTGTGGCCTTCCTTCGAAACGGGTATATCTTCACATCAAACCTAGACAGAAGCATTCTCAGAATGTTTCCTGTGATGACTGCATTCAACTCACAGAGGTGAACAATCCTGCTGATGGAGCAGTTTTGAAACTCTCTTTCTTTGGATTCTGCAAGTGGATATGTGGACCTCTGTGAAGATTTCGTTGGAAACGGGTTCATCTTCACAGAAAAACTAAACAGAAGCATTCTCAGAAACTGCTTTGTGATGTTTGTGTTCCACTTCAAGAATTGAACTTTCCTCTTGACAGAGCAGCTCTGAAACCCTCTTTTTCTAGAATCTGCAAGTGGACATTTGGAGGGCTTTGAGGCCTGTGGTGGAAAAGGAAACTCTTCACATAAAAACTAGATGGAAGCATTCTCAGAAACTACTTTGTGATGATTGCATTCGACTCACAGAGTTGAACATTCCTATAGATAGAGCAGGTTGTAAACAATCTTTTTGTAGAATCTGCGATTGGAGATTTGGACTGCTTTGAGGCCTACTGTAGTAAAGGAAATAACTTCATCTAAAAACCAAACGGAAGCATTCACAGACAATTCTTAGTGATCATTGGATTGAACTAACAGAGCTGAACATTCCTTTAGATGGAGCATTTTCCAAACGCACTTTCTGTAGAATCTGCAAGTGGATATTTGGACTTCTCTGAGGATTTCGTTGGAAACGGGATAAACTTCCCAGAACTACACGGAAGCATTGTGAGAGACTTCTTTGTGATGTTTTCATTCAACTCACAGAGTTGAACCTTGCTTTCATAGTTCAGCTTTCAAACACTCTTTTTGTAGAATCTGCAAGTGGATATTTGGACCACTTTGTGGCCTTCCTTCGAAACGGGTATATCTTCACATCAAACCTATACAGAAGCATTCTCAGAATGTTTCCTGTGATGACTGCATTCAACTCACAGAGGTGAACAATCCTGCTGATGGAGCAGTTTTGAAACTCTCTTTCTTTGGATTCTGCAAGTGGATATGTGGACCTCTGTGAAGATTTCGTTGGAAACGGGTTCATCTTCACAGAAAAACTAAACAGAAGCATTCTCAGAAACTGCTTTGTGATGTTTGTGTTCCACTTCAAGAATTGAACTTTCCTCTTGACAGAGCAGCTCTGAAACCCTCTTTTTCTAGAATCTGCAAGTGGACATTTGGAGGGCTTTGAGGCCTGTGGTGGAAAAGGAAAATCTTCACATAAAAACTAGATGGAAGCATTCTCAGAAACTACTTTGTGATGATTGCATTCGACTCACAGCAGTTGAACATTCCTATAGATAGAGCAGGTTGTAAACAATCTTTTTGTAGAATCTGCGATTGGAGATTTGGACTGCTTTGAGGCCTACTGTAGTAAAGGAAATAACTTCATCTAAAAACCAAACGGAAGCATTCACAGACAATTCTTAGTGATCATTGGATTGAACTAACAGAGCTGAACATTCCTTTAGATGGAGCAGATTCCAAACACACTTTCTGTAGAATCTGCAAGTGGATATTTGGACGTCTCTGAGGATTTCGTTGGAAACGGGATAAACTTTCCAGAACTACACGGAAGCATTCTGAGAAACTTCTTTGTGATGTTTGCATTCAACTCACAGAGTTGAACCTTGCTTTCATAGTTCAGCTTTCAAACACTCTTTTTGTAGAATCTGCAAGTGGATATTTGGACCACTTTGTGGCCTTCCTTCGAAACGGGTATATCTTCACATCAAACCTAGACAGAAGCATTCTCAGAATGTTTCCCTGTGATGACTGCATTCAACTCACAGAGGTGAACAATCCTTCTGATGGAGCAGTTTTGAAACTCTCTTTCTTTGGATTCTGCATGTGGATATGTGGACCTCTGTGAAGATTTCGTTGGAAACGGGTTCATCTTCACAGAAAAACTAAACAGGAGCATTCTCAGTAAACTGCTTTGTGATGTTTGTGTTCCACTTCAAGAATTGAACTTTCCTCTTGATAGAGCAGCTCTGAAACCCTCTTTTTCTAGAATCTGCAAGTGGACATTTGGAGGGCTTTGAGGCCTGTGGTGGAAAAGGAAAATCTTCCCATAAAAACTAGATGGAAGCATTCTCAGAAACTACTTTGTGATGATTGCATTCGACTCACAGAGTTGAACATTCCTATAGATAGAGCAGGTTGCAAACAATCTTTTCGTAGAATCTGCGATTGGAGATTTGGACTGCTTTGAGGCCTACTGTAGTAAAGGAAATAACTTCATCTAAAAACCAAACGGAAGCATTCACAGACAATTCTTAGTGATCATTGGATTGAACTAACAGAGCTGAACATTCCTTTAGATGTAGCAGTTTCCAAACACACTTTCTGTAGAATCTGCAAGTGGATATTTGGACCTCTCTGAGGATTTCGTTGGAAACGGGATAAACTTCCCAGAACTACACGGAAGCATGCTGAGAAACTTCTTTGTGATGTTTGCATTCAACTCACAGAGTTGAACCTTGCTTTCATAGTTCAGCTTTCAAACACTCTTTTTGTAGAATCTGCAAGTGGATATTTGGACCACTTTGTGGCCTTCCTTCGAAACGGGTATATCTTCACATCAAACCTAGACAGAAGCATTCTCAGAATGTTTCCTGTGATGACTGCATTCAACTCACAGAGGTGAACAATCCTGCTGATGGAGCAGTTTTGAAACTCTCTTTCTTTGGATTCTGCAAGTGGATATGTGGACCTCTGTGAAGATTTCGTTGGAAACGGGTTCATCTTCACAGAAAAACTAAACAGGAGCATTCTCAGAAACTGCTTTGTGATGTTTGTGTTCCACTTCAAGCAATTGAACTTTCCTCTTGACAGAGCAGCTCTGAAACCCTCTTTTTCTAGAATCTGCAAGTGGACATTTGGAGGGCTTTGAGGCCTGTGGTGGAAAAGGAAAATCTTCCCATAAAAACTAGATGGAAGCATTCTCAGAAACTACTTTGTGATGATTGCATTCGACTCACAGAGTTGAACATTCCTATAGATAGAGCAGGTTGTAAACAATCTTTTTGTAGAATCTGCGATTGGAGATTTGGACTGCTTTGAGGCCTACTGTAGTAAAGGAAATAACTTCATCTAAAAACCAAACGGAAGCATTCACAGACAATTCTTAGTGATCATTGGATTGAACTAACAGAGCTGAACACTCCTTTAGATGGCGCTGTTTCCAAACACACTTTCTGTAGAATCTGCAAGTGGATATTTGGACTTCTCTGAGGATTTCGTTGGAAACGGGATAAACTTCCCAGAACTACACGGAAGCATTGTGAGAAACTTCTTTGTGATGTTTGCATTCAACTCACAGAGTTGAACCTTGCTTTCATAGTTCAGCTTTCAAACACTCTTTTTGTAGAATCTGCAAGTGGATATTTGGACCACTTTGTGGCCTTCCTTTGAAAAGGGTATATCTTCACATCAAACCTAGACAGAAGCATTCTCAGAATGTTTCCTGTGATGACTGCATTCAACGCACAGAGGTGAACAATCCTGCTGATGGAGCAGTTTTGAAACTCTCTTTCTTTGGATTCTGCAAGTGGATATGTGGACCTCTGTGAAGATTTCGTTGGAAACGGGTTCATCTTCACAGAAAAACTAAACAGAAGCATTCTCAGAAACTGCTTTGTGATGTTTGTGTTCCACTTCAGGAATTGAACTTTCCTCTTGAAAGAGCAGCTCTGAAACCCTCTTTTTCTAGAATCTGCAAGTGGACATTTGGAGGGCTTTGAGGCCTGTGGTGGAAAAGGAAAATCTTCACATAAAAACTTTATGGAAGCATTCTCAGAAACTACTTTGTGATGATTGCATTCGACTCACAGAATTCAACATTCCTATAGGGAGAGCAGGTTGTAAACAATCTTTTTGTAGAATCTGCGATTAGAGATTTGGACTGCTTTGAGGCCTACTGTAGTAAAGGAAATAACTTCATCTAAAAACCAAACGGAAGCATTCACAGACAATTCTTAGTGATCATTGGATTGAACTAACAGAGCTGAACATTCCCTTAGATGGCACAGTTTCCAAACACACTTTCTGGAGAATCTGCATGTGGATATTTGGACCTCTCTGAGGATTTCGTTGGAAACGGGCTAAACTTCCCAGAACTACACGGAAGCATTCTGAGAAACTTCTTTGTGATGTTTGCATTCAACTCACAGAGTTGAACCTTGCTTTCATACTTCAGCTTTCAAACACTCTTTTTGTAGAATCTGCAAGTGGATATTTGGACCACTTTGTGGCCTTCCTTCGAAACGGGTATATCTTCACATCAAACCTAGACAGAAGCATTCTCAGAATGTTTCCTGTGATGACTGCATTCAACTCACAGAGGTGAACAATCCTGCTGATGGAGCAGTTTTGAAACTCTCTTTCTTTGGATTCTGCAAGTGGATATGTGGACCTCTGTGAAGATTTCGTTGGAAACGGGTTCATCTTCACAGAAAAACTAAACAGAAGCATTCTCAGAAACTGCTTTGTGATGTTTGTGTTCCACTTCAGGAATTGAACTTTCCTCTTGACAGAGCAGCTCTGAAACCCTCTTATTCTAGAATCTGCAAGTGGACATTTGGAGGGCTTTGAGGCCTGTGGTGGAAAAGGAAAATCTTCACATAAAAACTAGATGGAAGCATTCTCAGAAACTACTTTGTGTTGATTGCTTTCGACTCACAGAGTTGAACATTCCTATAGATAGAGTAGGTTGTAAACAATCTTTTTGTAGAATCTGCGATTGGAGATTTGGACTGCTTTGAGGCCTACTGTAGTAAAGGAAATAACTTCATCTAAAAACCAAACTGAAGCATTCACAGACAATTCTTAGTGATCATTGGATTGAACTAACAGAGCTGAACATTCCTTTAGATGGAGCAGTTTCCAAACCCACTTTCTGTAGAATCTGCAAGTGGATATTTGGACTTCTCCGAGGATTTCGTTGGAAACGGGATAAACTTCCCAGAACTACACGGAAGCATTGTGAGAAACTTCTTTGTGATGTTTGCATTCAACTCACAGAGTTGAACCTTGCTTTCATAGTTCAGCTTTCAAACACTCTTTTTGTAGAATCTGCAAGTGGATATTTGGACCACTTTGTGGCCTTCCTTCGAAACGGGTATATCTTCACATCAAACCTAGACAGAAGCATTCTCAGAATGTTTCCTGTGATGACTGCATTCAACTCACAGAGGTGAACAATCCTGCTGATGGAGCAGTTTTGAAACTCTCTTTCTTTGGATTCTGCAAGTGGATATGTGGACCTCTGTGAAGATTTCGTTGGAAACGGGTTCATCTTCACAGAAAAACTAAACAGGAGCATTCTCAGAAACTGCTTTGTGATGTTTGTGTTCCACTTCAAGAATTGAACTTTCCTCTTGACAGAGCAGCTCTGAAACCCTCTTTTTCTAGAATGTGCAAGTGGACATTTGGAGGGCTTTGAGGCCTGTGGTGGAAAAGGAAAATCTTCCCATAAAAACTAGATGGAAGCATTCTCAGAAACTACTTTGTGATGATTGCATTCGACTCACAGAGTTGAACATTCCTATAGATAGAGCAGGTTGTAAACAATCTTTTTGTAGAATCTGCGATTGGAGATTTGGACTGCTTTGAGGCCTACTGTAGTAAAGGAAATAACTTCATCTAAAAACCAAACGGAAGCATTCACAGAAAATTCTTAGTGATCATTGGATTGAACTAACAGAGCTGAACA
The DNA here is from genome assembly GCF_000001405.40 of Homo sapiens. Classification (NCBI taxonomy): domain Eukaryota; kingdom Metazoa; phylum Chordata; class Mammalia; order Primates; family Hominidae; genus Homo; species Homo sapiens. The sequence continues at coordinate 52,921,334 of NC_000011.10, forward strand.
TTCCTTTAGATGGAGCAGTTTCCAAACACACTTTCTGTAGAATCTGCAAGTGGATATTTGGACCTCTCTGAGGATTTCGTTGGAAAAGGGATAAACTTCCCAGAACTACACGGAACCATGCTGAGAAACTTCTTTGTGATGTTTGCATTCAACTCACAGAGTTGAAACTTGCTTTCATAGTTCAGCTTTCAAACACTCTTTTTGTAGAATCTGCAAGTGGATATTTGGAGCACTTTGTGGCCTTCCTTCGAAACGGGTATATCTTCACATCAAACCTAGACAGAAGCATTCTCAGAATGTTTCCTGTGATGACTGCATTCAACTCACAGAGGTGAACAATCCTGTTGATGGAGCACTTTTGAAACTCTCTTTCTTTGGATTCTGCAAGTTGATATGAGGACCTCTGTGAAGATTTCGTTGGAAACGGGTTCATCTTCACAGAAAAACTAAACAGAAGCATTCTCAGAAACTGCTTTGTGATGTTTGTGTTCCACTTCAGGAATTGAACTTTCCTCTTGACAGAGCAGCTCTGAAACCCTCTTTTTCTAGAATCTGCAAGTGGACATTTGGAGGGCTTTGAGGCCTGTGGTGGAAAAGGAAAATCTTCACATAAAAACTAGATGGAAGCATTCTCAGAAACTACTTTGTGATGATTGCATTCGACTCACAGAGTTGAACATTCCTATAGATAGAGCAGGTTGTAAACAATCTTTTTGTAGAATCTGCGATTGGAGATTTGGACTGCTTTGAGGCCTATTGTAGTAAAGGAAATAACTTCATCTAAAAACCAAACGGAAGCATTCACAGACAATTGTTAGTGATCATTGGATTGAACTAACAGAGCTGAACATTCCTTTAGATGGAGCAGTTTCCAAACACACTTTCTGTAGAATCTGCAAGTGGATATTTGGACTTCTCTAAGGATTTCGTTGGAAACGGTATAAACTTCCCAGAACTACACGGAAGCATTCTGAGAAACTTCTTTGTGATGTTTGCATTCAACTCACAAAGTTGAACCTTGCTTTCATAGTTCAGCTTTCAAACACTCTTTTTGTAGAATCTGCAAGTGGATATTTGGACCACTTTGTGGCCTTCCTTTGAAAAGGGTGTATCTTCACATCAAACCTAGACAGAAGCATTCTCAGAATGTTTCCTGTGATGACTGCATTCAACTCACAGAGGTGAACAATCCTGCTGATGGAGCAGTTTTGAAACTCTCTTTCTTTGGATTCTGCAAGTGGATATGTGGACCTCTGTGAAGATTTCGTTGGAAACGGGTTCATCTTCACAGAAAAACTAAACAGGAGCATTCTCCGAAACTGCTTTGTGATGTTTGTGTTCCACTTCAGGAATTGAACTTTCCTCTTGACAGAGTAGCTCTGAAACCCTCTTTTTCTAGAATCTGCAAGTGGACATTTGGAGGGCTTTGAGGCCTGTGGTGGAAAAGGAATATCTTCACATAAAAACTAGATGGAAGCATTCTCAGAAACTACTTTGTCATGATTGCATTCGACTCACAGAGTTGAACATTCCTATAGATAGAGCAGGTTGTAAACAATCTTTTTGTAGAATCTGCGATTGGAGATTTGGACTGCTTTGAGGCCTACTGTAGTAAAGGTAATAACTTCACCTAAAAACCAAACGGAAGCATTCACAGACAATTCTTAGTGATCATTGCATTGAACTAACAGAGCTGAACATTCCTTTAGATGGAGCAGTTTCCAAACACACTTTCTGTAGAATCTGCAAGTGGATATTTGGACTTCTCTGAGGATTTCGTTGGAAACGGGATAAACTTCCCAGAACTACACGGAAGTATTCTGAGAAACTTCTTTGTGATGTTTGCATTCAACTCACAGAGTTGAAACTTGCTTTCATAGTTCAGCTTTCAAACACTCTTTTTGTAGAATCTGCAAGTGGATATTTGGACCACTTTGTGGCCTTCCTTCGAAACGGGTATATCTTCACATCAAACCTAGACAGAAGCATTCTCAGAATGTTTCCTGTGATGACTGCATTCAACTCACAGAGGTGAACAATCCTGCTGATGGAGCAGTTTTGAAACTCTCTTTCTTTGGATTCTGCAAGTGGATATGTGGACCTCTGTGAAGATTTCGTTGGAAACGGGTTCATCTTCACAGAAAAACTAAACAGAAGCATTCTCAGAAACTGCTTTGTGATGTTTGTGTTCCACTTCAAGAATTGAACTTTCCTCTTGACAGAGCAGCTCTGAAACCCTCTTTTTCTAGAATCTGCAAGTGGACATTTGGAGGGCTTTGAGGCCTGTGGTGGAAAAGGAAAATCTTCACATAAAAACTAGATGGAAGCATTCTCAGAAACTACTTTGTGATGATTGCATTCGACTCACAGAGTTGAACATTCCTATAGATAGAGCAGGTTGTAAACAATCTTTTTGTAGAATCTGCGATTGGAGATTTGGACTGCTTTGAGGCCTACTGTAGTAAAGGAAATAACTTCATCTAAAAACCAAACGGAAGCATTCACAGACAATTCTTAGTGATCATTGGATTGAACTAACAGAGCTGAACATTCCTTTAGATGGAGCAGTTTCCAAACACACTTTCTACAGAATCTGCAAGTGGATATTTGGACCTCTCTGAGGATTTCGTTGGAAACGGGATAAACTTCCCAGAACTACACGGAAGCATTGTGAGAAACTTCTTTGTGATGTTTGCATTCAACTCACAGAGTTGAACCTTGCTTTCATAGTTCAGCTTTCAAACACTCTTTTTGTAGAATCTGCAAGTGGATATTTGGACCACTTTGTGGCCTTCCTTCGAAACGGGTATATCTTCACATCAAACCTAGACAGAAGCATTCTCAGAATGTTTCCTGTGATGACTGCATTCAACTCACAGAGGTGAACAATCCTGCTGATGGAGCAGTTTTGAAACTCTCTTTCTTTGGATTCTGCAAGTGGATATGTGGACCTCTGTGAAGATTTCGTTGGAAACGGGTTCATCTTCACAGAAAAACTAAACAGGAGCATTCTCAGAAACTGCTTTGTGATGTTTGTGTTCCACTTCAGGAATTGAACTTTCCTCTTGACAGAGCAGCTCTGAAACCCTCTTATTCTAGAATCTGCAAGTGGACATTTGGAGGGCTTTGAGGCCTGTGGTGGAAAAGGAAAATCTTCACATAAAAACTAGATGGAAGGATTCTCAGAAACTACTTTGTGATGATTGCATTCGACTCACAGAGTTGAACATTCCTATAGATAGAGCAGGTTGTAAACAATCTTTTTGTAGAATCTGCGATTGGAGATTTGGACTGCTTTGAGGCCTACTGTAGTAAAGGAAATAACTTCATCTAAAAACCAAACGGAAGCATTCACAGACAATTCTTAGTGATCATTGGATTGAACTAACAGAGCTGAACATTCCTTTAGATGGAGCAGTTTCCAAACACACTTTCTGTAGAATCTGCAAGTGGATATTTGGACCTCTCTGAGGATTTCGTTGGAAACGGGATAAACTTCCCAGAACTACACGGAAGCATTCTGAGAAACTTCTTTGTGATGTTTGCATTCAACTCACAGAGTTGAACCTTGCTTTCATAGTTCAGCTTTGAAACACTCTTTTTGTAGAATCTGCAAGTGGATATTTGGACCACTTTGTGGCCTTCCTTCGAAACGGGTATATCTTCACATCAAACCTAGACAGAAGCATTCTCAGAATGTTTCCTGTGATGACTGCATTCAACTCACAGAGGTGAACAATCCTGTTGATGGAGCAGTTTTGAAACTCTCTTTCTTTGGATTCTGCAAGTTGATATGTGGACCTCTGTGAAGATTTCGTTGGAAACGGGTTCATCTTCACAGAAAAATTAAACAGAAGCATTCTCAGAAACTGCTTTGTGATGTTTGTGTTCCACTTCAGGAATTGAACTTTCCTCTTGACAGAGTAGCTCTGAAACCCTCTTTTTCTAGAATCTGCAAGTGGACATTTGGAGGGCTTTGAGGCCTGTGGTGGAAAAGGAAACTCTTCACATAAAAACTAGATGGAAGCATTCTCAGAAACTACTATGTGATGATTGCATTCGACTCACAGAGTTGAACATTCCTATAGATAGAGCAGGTTGTAAACAATCTTTTTGTAGAATCTGCGATTGGAGATTTGGACTGCTTTGAGGCCTACTGTAGTAAAGGAAATAACTTCATCTAAAAACCAAACGGAAGCATTCACAGACAATTCTTAGTGATCATTGGATTGAACTAACAGAGCTGAACATTCCTTTAGATGGAGCAGTTTCCAAACACACTTTCTGTAGAATCTGCAAATGGATATTTGGACCTCTCTGAGGATTTCGTTGGAAACGGGCAAAATTTCCCAGAACTACACGGAAGCATTGTGAGAAACTTCTTTGTGATGTTTGCATTCAACTCACAGAGTTGAACCTTGCTTTCATAGTTCAGCTTTCAAACACTCTTTTTATAGAATCTGCAAGTGGATATTTGGACCACTTTGTGGCCTTCCTTCGAAACGGGTATATCTTCACATCAAACCTAGACAGAAGCATTCTCAGAATGTTTCCTTTGATGACTGCATTCAACTCACAGAGGTGAACAATCCTGTTGATGGAGCAGTTTTGAAACTCTCTTTCTTTGGATTCTGCAAGTGGATATGTGGACCTCTGTGAAGATTTCGTTGGAAACGGGTTCATCTTCACAGAAAAACTAAACAGAAGCATTCTCAGAAACTGCATTGTGATGTTTGTGTTCCACTTCAAGAATTGAACTTTCCTCTTGACAGAGCAGCTCTGAAACCCTCTTTTTCTAGAATCTGCAAGTGGACATTTGGAGGGCTTTGAGGCCTGTGGTGGAAAAGGAAAATCTTCACATAAAAACTTTATGGAAGCATTCTCAGAAACTACTTTGTGATGATTGCATTCGACTCACAGAGTTGAACATTCCTATACATAGAGCAGGTTGTAAACAATCTTTTTGTAGAATCTGCGATTGGAGATTTGGACTGCTTTGAGGCCTACTGTAGTAAAGGAAATAACTTCATCTAAAAACCAAACGGAAGCATTCACAGACAATTCTTAGTGATCATTGCATTGAACTAACAGAGCTGAACATTCCTTTAGATGGAGCATTTTCCAAACACACTTTCTGTAGAATCTGCAAGTGGATATTTGGACTTCTCTGAGGATTTCGTTGGAAACGGGATAAACTTCCCAGAACTACACGGAAGCATTCTGAGAAACTTCTTTGTGATGTTTGCATTCAACTCACAGAGTTGAACCTTGCTTTCATAGTTCAGCTTTCAAACACTCTTTTTGTAGAATCTGCAAGTGGATATTTGAACCACTTTGTGGCCTTCCTTCGAAACGGGTATATCTTCACATCAAACCTAGACAGAAGCATTCTCAGAATGTTTCCTGTGATGACTGCATTCAACTCACAGAGGTGAACAATCCTGCTGATGGAGCAGTTTTGAAACTCTCTTTCTTTGGATTCTGCAAGTGGATATGTGGACCTCTGTGAAGATTTCGTTGGAAACGGGTTCATCTTCACAGAAAAACTAAACAGGAAGCATTCTCAGAAACTGCTTTGTGTTGTTTGTGTTCCACTTCAAGAATTGAACTTTCCTCTTGACAGAGCAGCTCTGAAACCCTCTTTTTCTAGAATCTGCAAGTGGACATTTGGAGGGCTTCGAGGCCTGTGGTGGAAAAGGAAAATCTTCACATAAGAACTAGATGGAAGCATTCTCAGAAACTACTTTGTGATGATTGCATTCGACTCACAGAGTTGAACATTCGTATAGATAGAGCAGGTTGTAAACAATCTTTTTGTAGAATCTGCGATTGGCGATTTGGACTGCTTTGAGGCCTACTGTAGTAAAGGAAATAACTTCATCTAAAAACGAAACGGAAGCATTCACAGACAATTCTTAGTGATCATTGGATTGAACTAACAGAGCTGAGCATTCCTTTAGATGGAGCAGTTTCCAAACACACTTTCTGTAGAATCTGCAAGTGGATATTTGGACTTCTCTGAGGATTTCGTTGGAAACGGGCTAAAATTCCCAGAACTACACGGAAGCATTGTGAGAAACTTCCTTTGTGATGTTTGCATTCAACTCACAGAGTTGAACCTTGCTTTCATAGTTCAGCTTTCAAACACTCTTTTTGTAGAATCTGCAAGTGGATATTTGGACCACTTTGTGGCCTTCCTTCGAAACGGGTATATCTTCACATCAAACCTAGACAGAAGCATTCTCAGAATGTTTCCTGTGATGACTGCATTCAACTCACAGAGGTGAACAATCCTGTTGATGGAGCAGTTTTGAAACTCTCTTTCTTTGGATTCTGCAAGTGGATATGTGGGCCTCTGTGAAGATTTCGTTGGAAACGGGTTCATCTTCACAGAAAAACTAGACAGAAGCATTCTCAGAAACTGCTTTGTGATGTTTGTGTTCCACTTCAGGAATTGAACTTTCCTCTTGACAGAGCAGCTCTGAAACCCTCTTATTCTAGAATCTGCAAGTGGACATTTGGAGGGCTTTGAGGCCTGTGGTGGAAAAGGAAAATCTTCACATAAAAACTAGATGGAAGCATTCTCAGAAACTACTTTGTGATGATGGCTTTCGACTCACAGAGTTGAACATTCCTATAGATAGAGCAGGTTGTAAACAATCTTTTTGTAGAATCTGCGATTGGAGATTTGGACTGCTTTGAGGCCTACTGTAGTAAAGGAAATAACTTCATCTAAAAACCAAACGGAAGCATTCACAGACAATTCTTAGTGATCATTGGATTGAACTAACAGAGCTGAACATTCCTTTAGATGGAGCAGTTTCCAAACACACTTTCTGTAGAATCTGCAAGTGGATATTTGGACTTCTCTGAGGATTTCGTTGGAAACGGGATAAACTTCCCAGAACTACACGGAAGCATTCTGAGAAACTTCTTTGTGATGTTTGCATTCAACTCACAGAGTTGAACCTTGCTTTCATAGTTCAGCTTTCAAACACTCCTTTTGTAGAATCTGCAAGTGGATATTTGGACCACTTTGTGGCCTTCCTTCGAAACGGGTATATCTTCACATCAAACCTAGACAGAAGCATTCTCAGAATGTTTCCTGTGATGACTGCATTCAACTCACAGAGGTGAACAATCCTGCTAATGGAGCAGTTTTGAAACTCTCTTTCTTTGGATTCTGCAAGTGGATATGTGGACCTCTGTGAAGATTTCGTTGGAAACGGGTTCATCTTCACAGAAAAACTAAACAGGAGCATTCTCAGAAACTGCTTTGTGATGTTTGTGTTCCACTTCAGGAATTGAACTTTCCTCTTGACAGAGCAGCTCTGAAACCCTCTTATTCTAGAATCTGCAAGTGGACATTTGGAGGGCTTTGAGGCCTGTGGTGGAAAAGGAAAATCTTCACATAAAAACTAGATGGAAGCATTCTCAGAAACTACTTTGTGATGATTGCATTCGACTCACAGAGTTGAACATTCCTATAGATAGAGCAGGTTGTAAACAATCTTTTTGTAGAATCTGCGATTGGAGATTTGGACTGCTTTGAGGCCTATGATAGTAAAGGAAATAACTTCATCTAAAAACCAAACGGAAGCATTCACAGACAATTCTTAGTGATCATTGGATTGAACTAACAGAGCTGAACATTCCTTTAGATGGCGCAGTTTCCAAACACACTTTCTGTAGAATCTGCAAGTGGATATTTGGACCTCTCTGAGGATTTCGTTGGAAACGGGATAAACTTCCCAGAACTACACGGAAGCATTCTGAGAAACTTCTTTGTGATGTTTGCATTCAACTCACAGAGTTGAACCTTGCTTTCATAGTTCAGCTATCAAACACTCTTTTTGTAGGATCTGCAAGTGGATATTTGGACCACTTTGTGGCCTTCCTTCGAAAGGGGTATATCTTCACATCAAACCTAGACAGAAGAATTCTCAGAATGTTTCCTGTGATGACTGCATTCAACTCACAGAGGTGAACAATCCTGTTGATGGAGCACTTTTGAAACTCTCTTTCTTTGGATTCTGCAAGTTGATATGTGGACCTCTGTGAAGATTTCGTTGGAAACGGGTTCATCTTCACAGAAAAACTAAACAGAAGCATTCTCAGAAACTGCTTTGTGATGTTTGTGTTCCACTTCAAGAATTGAACTTTCCTCTCGACAGAGCAGCTCTGAAACCCTCTTTTTCTAGAATCTGCAAGTGGACATTTGGAGGGCTTTGAGGCCTGTGGTGGAAAAGGAAAATCTTCACATAAAAACTAGATGGAAAGCATTCTCAGCAAACTACTTTGTGATGATTGCATTCGACTCACAGAGTTGAACATTCCTATAGATAGAGCAGGTTGTAAACAATCTTTTTGTAGAATCTGCGATTGGAGATTTGGACTGCTTTGAGGCCTACTGTACTAAAGGAAATAACTTCATCTAAAAACCAAACGGAAGCATTCACAGACAATTCTTAGTGATCATTGCATTGAACTAACAGAGCTGAACATTGCTTTAGATGGCGCAGTTTCCAAACCCACTTTCTGTAGAATCTGCAAGTGGATATTTGGACCTCTCTGAGGATTTCGTTGGAAACGGGATAAAATTCCCAAAACTACACGGAAGCATTCTCCGAAACTTTTTTGTGATGTTTGCATTCAACTCAGGGGGTTGAACCTTCCTTTCATAGTTCAGCTTTCAAACACTCTATTTGTAGAATCTGCAAGTGGATATTTAGAACAACTTGTGGCCTTCCTTCGAAACGGGTATATCTTCACATCAAACCTAGACAGAAGCATTCTCAGAATGTTTCCTGTGATGACTGCATTCAACTCACAGAGGTGAACAATCCTGTTGATGGAGCAGTTTTGAAACTCTCTTTCTTTGGAATCTGCAACTGGATATGTGGACCTCTTTGAAGATTTCGTTGGAAACGGGTTCATCTTCACATAAAAACTAAACAGAAGCATTCTCAGAAACTACTTTGTGATGTTTGTGTTCCACTTCAAGAATTGAACTTTCCTCTTGACAGAGCAGCTCTGAAACCCTCTTTTTCTAGAATCTGCAAGTGGACATTTGGAGGGCTTTGAGGCCTGTGGTGGAAAAGGAAAATCTTCACATAAAAACTAGATGGAAGCATTCTCAGAAACTACTTTGTGATGATTGCATTCGACTCACAGAGTTGAACATTCCTATACATAGAGCAGGTTGTAAACAATCTTTTTGTAGAATCTGCGATTGGAGATTTGGACTGCTTTGAGGCCTACTGTAGTAAAGGAAATAACTTCATCTAAAAACCAAACGGAAGCATTCACAGACAATTCTTAGTGATCATTGGATTGAACTAACAGAGCTGAACATTCCTTTAGATGGAGCAGTTTCCAAACACACTTTCTGTAGAATCTGCAAGTGGATATTTGGACTTCTCTGAGGATTTCGTTGGAAACGGGATAAACTTCCCAGAACTACACGGAAGCATTGTGAGAAACTTCTTTGTGATGTTTGCATTCAACTCACAGAGTTGAACCTTGCTTTCATAGTTCAGCTTTCAAACACTCTTTTTGTAGAATCTGCAAGTGGATATTTGGACCACTTTGTGGCCTTCCTTCGAAACGGGTATATCTTCACATCAAACCTAGACAGAAGCATTCTCAGAATGTTTCCTGTGATGACTGCATTCAACTCACAGAGGTGAACAATCCTGCTGATGGAGCAGTTTTGAAACTCTCTTTCTTTGGATTCTGCAAGTGGATATGTGGACCTCTGTGAAGATTTCGTTGGAAACGGGTTCATCTTCACAGAAAAACTAAACAGAAGCATTCTCAGAAACTGCTTTGTGATGTTTGTGTTCCACTTCAGGAATTGAACTTTCCTCTTGACAGAGCAGCTCTGAAACCCTCTTATTCTAGAATCTGCAAGTGGACATTTGGAGGGCTTTGAGGCCTGTGGTGGAAAAGGAAAATCTTCACATAAAAATTAGATGGAAGCATTCTCAGAAACTATTTTGTGATGATTGCATTGGACTCACAGAGTTGAACATTCCTATAGATAGAGCAGGTTGTAAACAATCTTTTTGTAGAATCTGCGATTGTAGATTTGGACTGCTTTGAGGCCTACTGTAGAAAAGGAAATAACTTCATCTAAAAACCAAACGGAAAGCATTCACAGACAATTCTTAGTGATCATTGGTTTGAACTAACAGAGCTGAACATTCCTTTAGATGGAGCAGTTTCCAAACCCACTTTCTGTAGAATCTGCAAGTGGATATTTGGACTTCTCTGAGGATTTCGTTGGAAATGGGATAAACTTCCCAGAACTACACGGAAGCATTCTGAGAAACTTCTTTGTGATGTTTGCATTTAACTCACAGAGTTGAACCTTGCTTTCATAGTTCAGCTTTCAAACACTCTTTTTGTAGAATCTGCAAGTGGATATTTGGACCACTTTGTGGCCTTCCTTCGAAACGGGTATATCTTCACATCAAACCTAGACAGAAGCATTCTCAGAATGTTTCCTGTGATGACTGCATTCAACTCACAGAGGTGAACAATCCTGCTGATGGAGCAGTTTTGAAACTCTCTTTCTTTGGATTCTGCAAGTGGATATGTGGACCTCTATGAAGATTTCGTTGGAAACGGGTTCATCTTCACAGAAAAACTAAACAGGAACATTCTCAGAAACTGCATTGTGATGTTTGTGTTCCACTTCAAGAATTGAACTTTCCTCTTGACAGAGCAGCTCTGAAACCCTCTTTTTCTAGAATCTGCAAGTGGACATTTGGAGGGCTTTGAGGCCTGTGGTGGAAAAGGAAAATCTTCACATAAAAACTAGATGGAAGCATTCTCAGAAACTACTTTGTGATGATTGCATTCGACTCACAGAGTTGAACATTCCTATAGATAGAGCAGGTTGTAAACAATGTTTTTGTAGAATCTGCGATTGGAGATTTGGACTGCTTTGAGGCCTACTGTAGTAAAGGAAATAACTTCATCTAAAAACCAAACGGAAGCATTCACAGACAATTCTTAGTGATCATTGGATTGAACTAACAGAGCTGAACATTCCTTTAGATGGAGCAGTTTCCAAACACACTTTCTGTAGAATCTGCAAGTGGATATTTGGACCTCTCTGAGGATTTCGTTGGAAACGGGATAAACTTCCCAGAACTACACGGAAGCATTGTGAGAAACTTCTTTGTGATGTTTGCATTCAACTCACAGAGTTGAACCTTGCTTTCATAGTTCAGCTTTCAAACACTCTTTTTGTAGAATCTGCAAGTGGATATTTGGACCACTTTGAGGCCTTCCTTCGAAACGGGTATATCTTCACATCAAACCTAGACAGAAGCATTCTCAGAATGTTTCCTGTGATGACTGCATTGAACTCACAGAGGCGAACAATCCTGTTGATGGAGCAGTTTTGAAACTCTCTTTCTTTGGATTCTGCAAGTGGATATGTGGACCTCTGTGAAGATTTCGTTGGAAACGGGTTCATCTTCACAGAAAAACTAAACAGAAACATTCTCAGAAACTGCTTTGTGATGTTTGTGTTCCACTTCAAGAATTGAACTTTCCTCTTGACAGAGCAGCTCTGAAACCCTCTTTTTCTAGAATCTGCAAGTGGACATTTGGAGGGCTTTGAGGCCTGTGGTGGAAAAGGAAAATCTTCACATAAAAACTAGATGGAAGCATTCTCAGAAACTACTTTGTGATGATTGCATTCGACTCACAGAGTTGAACATTCCTATAGATAGAGCAGGTTGTAAACAATCTTTTTGTAGAATCTGCGATTGGAGATTTGGACTGCTTTGAGGCCTACTGTAGTAAAGGAAATAACTTCATCTAAAAACCAAACGGAAGCATTCACAGACAATTCTTAGTGATCATTGGATTGAACTAACAGAGCTGAACATTCCTTTAGATGGAGCAGTTTCCAAACACACTTTCTGCAGAATCTGCAAGTGGATATTTGGACTTCTCTGAGGATTTCGTTGGAAATGGGATAAACTTCCCAGAACTACACGGAAGCATTCTGAGAAACTTCTTTGTGATGTTTGCATTCAACTCACAGAGTTTAACCTTGCTTTCATAGTTCAGCTTTCAAACCCTCTTTTTGTAGAATCTGCAAGTGGATATTTGGACCACTTTGTGGCCTTCCTTCGAAACGGGTATATCTTCACATCAAACCTAGACAGAAGCATTCTCAGAATGTTTCCTGTGATGACTGCATTCAACTCACAGGGGTGAACAATCCTGCTGATGGAGCAGTTTTGAAACTCTCTTTCTTTGGATTCTGCAAGTGGATATGTGGACCTCTGTGAAGATTTCGTTGGAAACGGGTTCATCTTCACAGAAAAACTAAACAGGAGCATTCTCAGAAACTGCTTTGTGATGTTTGTGTTCCACTTCAGGAATTGAACTTTCCTCTTGACAGAGCAGCTCTGAAACCCTCTTTTTCTAGAATCTGCAAGTGGACATTTGGAGGGCTTTGATGCCTGTGGTGGAAAAGGAAAATCTTCACATAAAAACTAGATGGAAGCATTCTCAGAAACTACTTTGTGATGATTGCATTCGACTCACAGAGTTGAACATTCCTATACATAGAGCAGGTTGTAAACAATCTTTTTGTAGAATCTGCGATTGGAGATTTGGACTGCTTTGAGGCCTACTGTAGTAAAGGAAATAACTTCATGTAAAAACCAAACGGAAGTATTCACAGACAATTCTTAGTGATCATTGGATTGAACTAACAGAGCTGAACATTCCTTTAGATGGCGCAGTTTCCAAACACACTTTCTGTAGAATCTGCAAGTGGATATTTGGACCTCTCTGAGGATTTCGTTGGAAACGGGATAAACTTCCCAGAACTACACGGAAGCATTCTGAGAAACTTCTTTGTGACGTCTGCATTCAACTCACAGAGTTGAACCTTGCTTTCATAGTTCAGCTTTCAAACACTCTTTTTGTAGAATCTGCAAGTGGATATTTGGACCACTTTGTGGCCTTCCTTCGAAACGGGTATATATTCACATCAAACCTAGACAGAAGCATTCTCAGAATGTTTCCTGTGATGACTGCATTCAACTCAGAGAGGTGAACAATCCTGTTGATGGAGCAGTTTTGAAACTCTCTTTCTTTGGATTCTGCAAGTGGATATGTGGACCTCTGTGAAGATTTCGTTGGAAACGGGTTCATCTTCACAGAAAAACTAAACAGGAGCATTCTCAGAAACTGCTTTGTGATGTTTGTGTTCCACTTCAAGAATTGAACTTTCCTCTTGACAGAGCAGCTCTGAAACCCTCTTTTTCTAGAATCTGCAAGTGGACATTTGGAGGGCTTTGAGGCCTGTGGTGGAAAAGATAAATCTTCACATAAAAACTAGATGGAAGCATTCTCAGAAACTACTTTGTGATGATTGCATTCGACTCACAGAGTTGAACATTCCTATAGATAGAGCAGGTTGTAAACAATCTTTTTGTAGAATCTGCGATTGGAGATTTGGACTGCTTTGAGGCCTACTGTAGTAAAGGAAATAACTTCATCTAAAAACCAAACGGAAGCATTCACAGATCATTCTTAGTGATCATTGCATTGAACTAACAGAGCTGAACATTCCTTTAGATAGCGCAGTTTCCAAACACACTTTCTGTAGAATCTGCAAGTGGATATTTGGACTTCTCTGAGGATTTCGTTGGAAACGGGATAAACTTCCCAGAACTACACGGAAGCATTCTGAGAAACTTCTTTGTGATGTTTGCATTCAACTCACAGAGTTGAACCTTGCTTTCATAGTTCAGCTTTCAAACACTCTTTTTGTAGAATCTGCAAGTGGATATTTGGACCACTTTCTGGCCTTCCTTCGAAACGGGTATATCTTCACATCAAACCTAGACAGAAGCATTCTCAGAATGTTTCCTGTGATGACTGCATTCAACTCACAGAGGTGAACAATCCTGCTGATGGAGCAGTTTTGAAACTCTCTTTCTTTGGATTCTGCAAGTGGATATGTGGACCTCTGTGAAGATTTCGTTGGAAACGGGTTCATCTTCACAGAAAAACTAAACAGAAGCATTCTCAGAAACTACTTTGTGATGTTTGTGTTCCACTTCAAGAATTGAACTTTCCTCTTGACAGAGCAGCTCTGAAACCCTCTTTTTCTAGAATCTGCAAGTGGACATTTGGAGGGCTTTGAGGCCTGTGGTGGAAAAGGAAAATCTTCACATAAAAACTAGATGGAAGCATTCTCAGAAACTACTTTGTGATGATTGCATTCGACTCACAGAGTTGAACATTCCTATAGATAGAGCAGGTTGTAAACAATCTTTTTGTAGAATCTGCGATTGGAGATTTGGACTGCTTTGAGGCCTACTGTAGTAAAGGAAATAACTTCATCTAAAAACCAAACGGAGAGCATTCACAGACAATTCTTAGTGATCATTGGATTGAACTAACAGAGCTGAACATTCCTTTAGATGGAGCAGTTTCCAAACACACTTTCTGTAGAATCTGCAAGTGGATATTGGGACTTCTCTGAGGATTTCGTTGGAAACGGGATAAACTTCCCAGAACTACACGGAGCATTGTGAGAAACTTCTTTGTGATGTTTGCATTCAACTCACAGAGTTGAACCTTGCTTTCATAGTTCAGCTTTCAAACACTCTTTTTGTAGAATCTGCAAGTGGATATTTGGACCACTTTGTGGCCTTCCTTCGAAACGGGTATATCTTCACATCAAACCTAGACAGAAGCATTCTCAGAATGTTTCCTGTGATGACTGCATTCAACTCACAGAGGTGAAAAATCCTGCTGATGGAGCAGTTTTGAAACTCTCTTTCTTTGGATTCTGCAAGTGGATATGTGGACCTCTGTGAAGATTTCGTTGGAAACGGGTTCATCTTCACAGAAAAAATAAACAGGAGCATTCTCAGAAACTGCTTTGTGATGTTTGTGTTCCACTTCAAGAATTGAACTTTCCTCTTGACAGAGCAGCTCTGAAACCCTCTTTTTCTAGAATCTGCAAGTGGACATTTGGAGGGCTTTGAGGCCTGTGGTGGAAAAGGAAAATCTTCCCATAAAAACTAGATGGAAGCATTCTCAGAAACTACTTTGTGATGATTGCATTCGACTCACAGAGTTGAACATTCCTATAGATAGAGCAGGTTGTAAACAATCTTTTTGTAGAATCTGCGATTGGAGATTTGGACTGCTTTGAGGCCTACTGTAGTAAAGGAAATAACTTCATCTAAAAACCAAACGGAAGCATTCACAGACAATTCTTAGTGATCATTGGATTGAACTAACAGAGCTGAACATTCCTTTAGATGGAGCAGTTTCCAAACACACTTTCTGTAGAATCTGCAAGTGGATATTTGGACCTCTCTGAGGATTTCGTTGGAAACGGGATAAACTTCCCAGAACTACACGGATGCATTCTGAGAAACTACTTTGTGATGTTTGCATTCAACTCACAGAGTTGAACCTTGCTTTCATAGTTCAGCTTTCAAACACTCTTTTTGTAGAATCTGCAAGTGGATATTTGGACCACTTTGTGGCCTTCCTTCGAAACGGGTATATCTTCACATCAAACCTAGACAGAAGCATTCTCAGAATGTTTCCTGTGATGACTGCATTCAACTCACAGAGGTGAACAATCCTGCTGATGGAGCAGTTTTGAAATTCTCTTTCTTTGGATTCTGCAAGTGGATATGTGGACCTCTGTGAAGATTTCGTTGGAAACGGGTTCATCTTCACAGAAAAACTAAACAGAAGCATTCTCAGAAACTGCTGTGTGATGTCTGTGTTCGACTTCAGGAATTGAACTTTCCTCTTGACAGAGCAGCTCTGAAACCCTCTTATTCTAGAATCTGCAAGTGGACATTTGGAGGGCTTTGAGGCCTGTGGTGGAAAAGGAAAATCTTCACATAAAAACTAGATGGAAGCATTCTCAGAAACTACTTTGTGATGATTGCATTCGAGTCACAGAGTTGAACATTCCTATAGATAGAGCAGGTTGTAAACAATCTTTTTGTAGAATCTGCGATTGGAGATTTGGACTGCTTTGAGGCCTACTGTAGTAAAGGAAATAACTTCATCTAAAAACCAAACGGAAGCATTTACAGACAATTCTTAGTGATCATTGGATTGAACTAACAGAGCGGAACATTCCTTTAGATGGAGCAGTTTCCAAACCCACTTTCTGTAGAATCTGCAAGTGGATATTTGGACTTCTCTGAGGATTTCGTTGGAAACGGGATAAACTTCCCAGAACTACACGGAAGCATTGTGAGAAACTTCTTTGTGATGTTTGCATTCAACTCACAGAGTTGAACCTTGCTTTCATAGTTCAGCTTTCAAACACTCTTTTTGTAGAATCTGCAAGTGGATATTTGGACCACTTTGTGGCCTTCCTTCGAAACGGGTATATCTTCACATCAAACCTAGACAGAAGCATTCTCAGAATGTTTCCTGTGATGACTGCATTCAACTCACAGAGGTGAACAATCCTGCTGATGGAGCAGTTTTGAAACTCTCTTTCTTTGGATTCTGCAAGTGGATATGTGTACCTCTGTGAAGATTTCGTTGGAAACGTGTTCATCTTCACAGAAAAACTAAACAGGAGCATTCTCAGAAACTGCTTTGTGATGTTTGTGTTCCACTTCAAGAATTGAACTTTCCTCTTGACAGAGCAGCTCTGAAACCCTCTTTTTCTAGAATCTGCAAGTGGACATTTGGAGGGCTTTGAGGCCTGTGGTGGAAAAGGAAAATCTTCCCATAAAAACTAGATGGAAGCATTCTCAGAAACTACTTTGTGATGATTGCATTCGACTCACAGAGTTGAACATTCCTATAGATAGAGCAGGTTGTAAACAATGTTTTTGTAGAATCTGCGATTGGAGATTTGGACTGCTTTGAGGCCTACTGTAGTAAAGGAAATAACTTCATCTAAAAACCAAACGGAAGCATTCACAGACAATTCTTAGTGATCATTGGATTGAACTAACAGAGCTGAACATTCCTTTAGATGGAGCAGTTTCCAAACCCACTTTCTGTAGAATCTGCAAGTGGATATTTGGACTTCTCTGAGGATTTCGTTGGAAACGGGATAAACTTCCCAGAACTACACGGAAGCATTCTGAGAAACTTCTTTGTGATGTTTGCATTCAACTCACAGAGTTGAACCTTGCTTTCATAGTTCAGCTTTCAAACACTCTTTTTGTAGAATCTGCAAGTGGATATTTGGACCACTTTGTGGCCTTCCTTCGAAACGGGTATATCTTCACATCAAACGTAGACAGAAGCATTCTCAGAATGTTTCCTGTGATGACTGCATTCAACTCACAGAGGTGAACAATCCTGTTGATGGAGCAGTTTTGAAACTCTCTTTCTTTGGATTCTGCAAGTGGATATGTGGACCTCTGTGAAGATTTCGTTGGAAACGGGTTCATCTTCACAGAAAAACTAAACAGAAGCATTCTCAGAAACTGCTTTGTGATGTTTGTGTTCCACTTCAAGAATTGAACTTTCCTCTTGACAGAGCAGCTCTGAAACCCTCTTTTTCTAGAATCTGCAAGTGGACATTTGGAGGGCTTTGAGGCCTGTGGTGGAAAAGGAAAATCTTCACATAAAAACTAGATGGAAGCATTCTCAGAAACTACTTTGTGATGATTGCATTCGACTCACAGAGTTGAACATTCCTATAGATAGAGCAGGTTGAAAACAATCTTTTTGTAGAATCTGCGATTGGAGATTTGGACTGCTTTGAGGCCTACTGTAGTAAAGGAAATAACTTCATCTAAAAACCAAACGGAAGCATTCACAGACAATTCTTAGTGATCATTGGATTGAACTAACAGAGCTGAACATTCCTTTAGATGGAGCAGATTCCAAACACACTTTCTGTAGAATCTGCAAGTGGATATTTGGACCTCTCTGAGGATTTCGTTGGAAACGGGATAAACTTCCCAGAACTACACGGAAGCATGCTGAGAAACTTCTTTGTGATGTTTGCATTCAACTCACAGAGTTGAACCTTGCTTTCATAGTTCAGCTTTCAAACACTCTTTTTGTAGAATCTGCAAGTGGATATTTGGACCACTTTGTGGCCTTCCTTCGAAACGGGTATATCTTCACATCAAACCTAGACAGAAGCATTCTCAGAATGTTTCCTGTGATGACTGCATTCAACTCACAGAGGTGAACAATCCTGCTGATGGAGCAGTTTTGAAACTCTCTTTCTTTGGATTCTGCAAGTGGATATGTGGACCTCTGTGAAGATTTCTTTGGAAACGGGTTCATCTTCACAGAAAAACTAAACAGAAGCATTCTCAGAAACTGCATTATCATGTTTGTGTTCCACTTCAAGAGTTGAACTTTCCTCTTGACAGAGCAGCTCTGAAACCCTCTTTTTCTAGAATCTGCAAGCGGACATTTGGAGGGCTTTGAGGCCTGTGGTGGAAAAGGAAAATCTTCACATAAAAACTTTATGGAAGCATTCTCAGAAACTACTTTGTGATGATTGCATTCGACTCACAGAGTTGAACATTCCTATAGATAGAGCAGGTTGTAAACAATCTTTTTGTAGAATCTGCGATTGGAGATTTGGACTGCTTTGAGGCCTACTGTAGTAAAGGAAATAACTTCATCTAAAAACCAAACGGAAGCATTCACAGACAATTCTTAGTGATCATTGCATTGAACTAACAGAGCTGAGCATTCCTTTAGATGGCGCAGTTTCCAAACACACTTTCTATAGAATCTGCAAGTGGATATTGGGACCTCTCTGAGGATTTCGTTGGAAAAGGGATAAACTTCCCAGAACTACACGGAAGCATTCTGAGAAACTTCTTTGTGATGTTTGCATTCAACTCACAGAGTTGAACCTTGCTTTCATAGTTCAGCTTTCAAACCCTCTTTTTGTAGAATCTGCAAGTGGATATTTGGACCACTTTGTGGCCTTTCCTTCGAAACGGGTATATCTTCACATCAAACCTAGACAGAAGCATTCTCAGAATGTTTCCTGTGATGACTGCATTCAACTCACAGAGGTGAACAGTCCTGCTGATGGAGCAGTTTTGAAACTCTCTTTCTTTGGATTCTGCAAGTGGATATGTGGACCTCTGTGAAGATTTCGTTGGAAACGGGTTCATCTTCACAGAAAAACTAAACAGAAACATTCTCAGAAACTGCTTTGTGATGTTTGTGTTCCACTTCAGGAATTGAACTTTCCTCTTGACAGAGCAGCTCTGAAACCCTCTTATTCTAGAATCTGCAAGTGGACATTTGGAGGGCTTTGAGGCCTGTGGTGGAAAAGGAAAATCTTCACATAAAAACTAGATGGAAGCATTCTCAGAAACTACTTTGTGATGATTGCATTCGACTCACAGAGTTGAACATTCCTATAGATAGAGCAGGTTGTAAACAATCTTTTTGTAGAATCTGCGATTGGAGATTTGGACTGCTTTGAGGCCTACTGTAGTAAAGGAAATAACTTCATCTAAAAACCAAACGGAAGCATTCACAGACAATTCTTAGTGATCATTGCATTGATCTAACAGAGCTGAACATTCCTTTAGATGGCGTAGTTTCCAAACACACTTTCTGTAGAATCTGCAAGTGGATATTTGGACCTCTCTGAGGATTTCGTTGGAAACGGGATAAACTTCCCAGAACTACACGGAAGCATTCTGAGAAACTTCTTTGTGATGTTTGCATTCAACTCACAGAGTTGAACCTTGCTTTCATAGTTCAGCTTTCAAACACTCTTTTTGTAGAATCTGCAAGTGGATATTTGGACCACTTTGTGGCCTTCCTTCGAAACGGGTATATCTTCACATCAAACCTAGACAGAAGCATTCTCAGAATGTTTCCTGTGATGACTGCATTCAACTCACAGAGGTGAACAATCCTGCTGATGGAGCAGTTTTGAAACTCTCTTTCTTTGGATTCTGCAAGTGGATATGTGGACCTCTGTGAAGATTTCGTTGGAAACGGGTTCATCTTCACAGAAAAACTAAACAGGAGCATTCTCAGAAACTGCTTTGTGATGTTTGTGTTCCACTTCAGGAATTGAACTTTCCTCTTGACAGAGCAGCTCTGAAACCCTCTTATTCTAGAATCTGCAAGTGGACATTTGGAGGGCTTTGAGGCCTGTGGTGGAAAAGGAAAATCTTCACATAAAAACTAGATGGAAGCATTCTCAGAAACTACTTTGTGATGATTGCATTCGACTCACAGAGTTGAACATTCCTATAGATAGAGCAGGTTGTAAACAATCTTTTTGTAGAATCTGCGATTGGAGATTTGGACTGCTTTGAGGCCTACTGTAGTAAAGGAAATAACTTCATCTAAAAACCAAACGGAAGCATTCACAGAAAATTCTTAGTGATCATTGGATTGAACTAACAGAGCTGAACATTCCTTTAGATGGAGCAGTTTCCAAACACACTTTCTGTAGAATCTGCAAGTGGATATTTGGACTTCTCTGAGGATTTCGTTGGAAACGGGATAAACTTCCCAGAACTACACGGAAGCATTCTGAGAAACTTCTTTGTGATGTTTGCATTCAACTCACAGAGTTGAACCTTGCTTTCATAGTTCAGCTTTCAAACACTCTTTTTGTAGAATCTGCAAGTGGATATTTGGACCACTTTGTGGCCTTCCTTCGAAACGGGTATATCTTCACATCAAACCTAGACAGAAGCATTCTCAGAATGTTTCCTGTGATGACTGCATTCAACTCTCAGAGGTGAACAATCCTGTTGATGGAGCAGTTTTGAAACTCTCTTTCTTTGGATTCTGCAAGTGGATATGTGGACCTCTGTGAAGATTTCGTTGGAAACGGGTTCATCTTCACAGAAAAACTAAACAGACAGCATTCTCAGAAACTGCTTTGTGATGTTTGTGTTCCACTTCAGGAATTGAACTTTCCTCTTGACAGAGCAGCTCTGAAACCCTCTTTTTCTAGAATCTGCAAGTGGACATTTGGAGGGCTTTGAGGCCTGTGGTGGAAAAGGAAAATCTTCACATAAAAACTAGATGGAAGCATTCTCAGAAACTACTTTGTGATGATTGCATTCGACTCACAGAGTTGAACATTCCTATAGATAGAGCAGGTTGTAAACAATCTTTTTGTAGAATCTGCGATTGGAGATTTGGACTGCTTTGAGGCCTACTGTAGTAAAGGAAATAACTTCATCTAAAAACCAAACGGAAGCATTCACAGACAATTCTTAGTGATCATTGGATTGAACTAACAGAGCTGAACATTCCTGTAGATGGCGCAGTTTCCAAACACACTTTCTGTAGAATCTGCAAGTGGATATTTGGACCTCTCTGAGGATTTCGTTGGAAACGGGATAAACTTCCCAGAACTACACGGAAGCATTCTGAGAAACTTCTTTGTGATGTTTGCATTCAACTCACAGAGTTGAACCTTGCTTTCATAGTTCAGCTTTCAAACACTCTTTTTGTAGAATCTGCAAGTGGATATTTGGACCACTTTGTGGCCTTCCTTCGAAAGGGGTATATCTTCACATCAAACCTAGACAGAAGCATTCTCAGAATGTTTCCTGTGATGACTGCATTCAACTCACAGAGGTGAACAATCCTGTTGATGGAGCAGTTTTGAAACTCTCTTTCTTTGGATTCTGCAAGTTGATATGTGGACCTCTGTGAAGATTTCGTTGGAAACGGGTTCATCTTCACAGAAAAACTAAACAGAAGCATTCTCAGAAACTGCTTTGTGATGTTTGTGTTCCACTTCAAGAATTGAACTTTCCTCTTGACAGAGCAGCTCTGAAACCCTCTTTTTCTAGAATCTGCAAGTGGACATTTGGAGGGCTTTGAGGCCTGTGGTGGAAAAGGAAAATCTTCACATAAAAAATAGATGGAAGCATTCTCAGAAACTCCTTTGTGATGATTGCATTCGACTCACAGAGTTGAACATTCCTACAGATAGAGCAGGTTGTAAACAATCTTTTTGTAGAATCTGCGATTGGAGATTTGGACTGCTTTGAGGCCTACTGTAGTAAAGGAAATAACTTCATCTAAAAACCAAACGGAAGCATTCACAGACAATTCTTAGTGATCATTGGATTGAACTAACAGAGCTGAACAGTCCTTTAGATGGAGCAGTTTCGAAACACACTTTCTGTAGAATCTGCAAGTGTATATTTGGACCTCTCTGAGGATTTCGCTGGAAAGGGGCTAAATTTACCAGAACTACACGGAAGCATTCTGAGAAACTTCTTTGTGATGTTTGCATTCAACTCACAGAGTTGAACCTTGCTTTCATAGTTCAGCTTTCAAACACTCTTTTTGTAGAATCTGCAAGTGGATATTTGGACCACTTTGTGGCCTTCCTTCGAAACGGGTATATCTTCACATCAAACCTAGACAGAAGCATTCTCAGAATGTTTCCTGTGATGACTGCATTCAACTCACAGAGGTGAACAATCCTGCTGATGGAGCAGTTTTGAAACTCTCTTTCTTTGGATTCTGCAAGTGGATATGTGGACCTCTGTGAAGATTTCGTTGGAAACGGGTTCATCTTCACAGAAAAACTAAACAGGAGCATTGTCAGAAACTGCTTTGTGATGTTTGTGTTCCACTTCAAGAATTGAACTTTCCTCTTGACAGAGCAGCTCTGAAACCCTCTTTTTCTAGAATCTGCAAGTGGACATTTGGAGGGCTTTGAGGCCTGTGGTGGTAAAGGAAAATCTTCACATAAAAACTAGATGGAAGCATTCTCAGAAACTACTTTGTGATGATGGCTTTCGACTCACAGAGTTGAACATTCCTATAGATAGAGCAGGTTGTAAACAATCTTTTTGTAGAATCTGCGATTGGAGATTTGGACTGCTTTGAGGCCTACTGTAGTAAAGGAAATAACTTCATCTAAAAACCAAACGGAAGCATTCACAGACAATTCTTAGTGATCATTGGATTGAACTAACAGAGCTGAACATTCCTTTAGATGGAGCAGTTTCCAAACACACTTTCTGTAGAATCTGCAAGTGGATATTTGGACCTCTCTGAGGATTTCGTTGGAAACGGGATAAACTTCCCAGAACTACACGGAAGCATGCTGAGAAACTTCTTTGTGATGTTTGCATTCAACTCACAGAGTTGAAACTTGCTTTCATAGTTCAGCTTTCAAACACTCTTTTTGTAGAATCTGCAAGTGGATATTTGGAGCACTTTGTGGCCTTCCTTCGAAACGGGTATATCTTCACATCAAACCTAGACAGAAGCATTCTCAGAATGTTTCCTGTGATGACTGCATTCAACTCACAGAGGTGAACAATCCTGTTGATGGAGCACTTTTGAAACTCTCTTTCTTTGGATTCTGCAAGTTGATATGTGGACCGCTGTGAAGATTTCGTTGGAAACGGGTTCATCTTCACAGAAAAACTAAACAGAAGCATTCTCAGAAACTGCTTTGTGATGTTTGTGTTCCACTTCAGGAATTGAACTTTCCTCTTGACAGAGCAGCTCTGAAACCCTCTTATTCTAGAATCTGCAAGTGGACATTTGGAGGGCTTTGAGGCCTGTGGTGGAAAAGGAAAATCTTCACATAAAAACTAGATGGAAGCATTCTCAGAAACTACTTTGTGATGATTGCATTCGACTCACAGAGTTGAACATTCCTATAGATAGAGCAGGTTGTAAACAATCTTTTTGTAGAATCTGCGATTGGAGATTTGGACTGCTTTGAGGCCTACTGTAGTAAAGGAAATAACTTCATCTAAAAACCAAACGGAAGCATTCACAGACAATTCTTAGTGATCATTGCATTGAACTAACAGAGCTGAACATTCCTTTAGATGGCGCAGTTTCCAAACACACTTTCTGTAGAATCTGCAAGTGGATATTTGGACTTCTCTGAGGATTTCGTTGGAAACGGGATAAACTTCCCAGAACTACACGGAAGCATTCTGAGAAACTTCTTTGTGATGTTTGCATTCAACTCACAGAGTTGAACCTTGCTTTCATAGTTCAGCTTTCAAACACTCTTTTTGTAGAATCTGCAAGTGGATATTTGGACCACATTGTGGCCTTCCTTCGAAACGGGTATATCTTCAAATCAAACCTAGACAGAAGCATTCTCAGAATGTTTCCTGTGATGACTGCATTCAACTCACAGAGGTGAACAATCCTGCTGATGGAGCAGTTTTGAAACTCTCTTTCTTTGGATTCTGCAAGTGGATATGTGGACCTCTGTGAAGATTTCGTTGGAAACGGGTTCATCTTCACAGAAAAACTAAACAGAAGCATTCTCAGAAACTGCTTTGTGATGTTTGTGTTCCACTTCAAGAATTGAACTTTCCTCTTGACAGAGCAGCTCTGAAACCCTCTTATTCTAGAATCTGCAAGTGGACATTTGGAGGGCTTTGAGGCCTGTGGTGGAAAAGGAAAATCTTCACATAAAAACTAGATGGAAACATTCTCACAAACTCCTTTGTCATGATTGCATTCGACTCACAGAGTTGAACATTCCTATAGATAGAGCAGGTTGTAAACAATCTTTTTGTAGAATCTGCGATTGGAGATTTGGACTGCTTTGAGGCCTACTGTAGTAAAGGAAATAACTTCATCTAAAAACCAAACGGAAGCATTCACAGACAATTCTTAGTGATCATTGCATTGAACTAACAGAGCTGAACATTCCTTTAGATGGAGCAGTTTCCAAACACACTTTCTGTAGAATCTGCAAGTGGATATTTGGACCTCTGAGGATTTCGTTGGAAACGGGATAAACTTCCCAGAACTACACGGAAGCATTGTGAGAAACCTCTTTGTGATGTTTGCATTCAACTCACAGAGTTGAACCTTGCTTTCATAGTTCAGCTTTCAAACACTCTTTTTGTAGAATCTGCAAGTGGATATTTGGACCACTTTGTGGCCTTCCTTCGAAACGGGTATATCTTCACATCAAACCTAGACAGAAGCATTCTCAGAATGTTTCCTGTGATGACTGCATTCAACTCACAGAGGTGAACAATCCTGTTGATGGAGCAGTTTTGAAACTCTCTTTCTTTGGATTCTGCAAGTGGATATGTGGACCTCTGTGAAGATTTCGTTGGAAACGGGTTCATCTTCACAGAAAAACTAAACAGAAGCATTCTCAGAAACTGCATTGTCATGTTTGTGTTCCACTTCAAGAATTGAACTTTCCTCTTGACAGAGCAGCTCTGAAACCCTCTTTTTCTAGAATCTGCAAGTGGACATTTGGAGGGCTTTGAGGCCTGTGGTGGAAAAGGAAAATCTTCACATGAAAACTAGATGGAAGTATTCTCAGAAACTACTTTGTGATGATTGCATTCGACTCACAGAGTTGAACATTCCTATAGATAGAGCAGGTTGTAAACAATCTTTTTGTAGAATCTGCGATTGGAGATTTGGACTGCTTTGAGGCCTACTGTAGTAAAGGAAATAACTTCATCTAAAAACCAAACGGAAGCATTCACAGACAATTCTTAGTGATCATTGGATTGAACTAACAGAGCTGAACATTCCTTTAGATGGAGCAGTTTCCAAACCCACTTTCTGTAGAATCTGCAAGTGGATATTTGGACTTCTCTGAGGATTTCGTTGGAAACGGGATAAACTTCCCAGAACTACACGGAAGCATTGTGAGAAACTTCTTTGTGATGTTTGCATTCAACTCACAGAGTTGAACCTTGCTTTCATAGTTCAGCTTTCAAACACTCTTTTTGTAGAATCTGCAAGTGGATATTTGGACCACTTTGTGGCCTTCCTTCGAAACGGGTATATCTTCACATCAAACCTAGACAGAAGCATTCTCAGAATGTTTCCTGTGATGACTGCATTCAACTCACAGAGGTGAACAATCCTGCTGATGGAGCAGTTTTGAAACTCTCTTTCTTTGGATTCTGCAAGTGGATATGTGGACCTCTGTGAAGATTTCGTTGGAAACGGGTTCATCTTCACAGAAAAACTAAACAGAAGCATTCTCAGAAATTGCTTTGTGATGTTTGTGTTCCACTTCAGGAATTGAACTTTCCTCTTGACAGAGCAGCTCTGAAACCCTCTTTTTCTAGAATCTGCAAGTGGACATTTGGAGGGCTTTGAGGCCTGTGGTGGAAAAGGAAAATCTTCACATAAAAACTAGATGGAAGCATTCTCAGAAACTACTTTTTGATGATTGCATTCGACTCACAGAGTTGAACATTCCTATAGATAGAGCAGGTTGTACACAATCTTTTTGTAGAATCTGCGATTGGAGATTTGGACTGCTTTGAGGCCTACTGTAGTAAAGGAAATAACTTCATCTAAAAACCAAACGGAAGCATTCACAGACAATTCTTAGTGATCATTGGATTGAACTAACAGAGCTGAACATTCCTTTAGATGGAGCAGTTTCCAAACCCACTTTCTGTAGAATCTGCAAGTGGATATTTGGACTTCTCTGAGGATTTCGTTGGAAACGGGATAAACTTCCCAGAACTACACGGAAGCATGCTGAGAAACTTCTTTGTGATGTTTGCATTCAACTCACAGAGTTGAACCTTGCTTTCATAGTTCAGCTTTCAAACACTCTTTTTGTAGAATCTGCAAGTGGATATTTGGACCACTTTGTGGCCTTCCTTCGAAACGGGTATATCTTCACATCAAACCTAGACAGAAGCATTCTCAGAATGTTTCCTGTGATGACTGCATTCAACTCATAGAGGTGAACAATCCTTCTGATGGAGCAGTTTTGAAACTCTCTTTCTTTGGATTCTGCAAGTGGATATGTGGACCTCTGTGAAGATTTCGTTGGAAACGGGTTCATCTTCACAGAAAAACTAAACAGGAGCATTCTCAGAAACTGCTTTGTTATGTTTGTGTTCCACTTCAAGAATTGAACTTTCCTCTTGACAGAGCAGCTCTGAAACCCTCTTATTCTAGAATCTGCAAGTGGACATTTGGAGGGCTTTGAGGCCTGTGGTGGAAAAGGAAAATCTTCACATAAAAACTAGATGGAAGCATTCTCAGAAACTACTTTGTGATGATTGCATTCGACTCACAGAGTTGAACATTCCTATAGATAGAGCAGGTTGTAAACAATCTTTTTGTAGAATCTGCGATTGGAGATTTGGACTGCTTTGAGGCCTACTGTAGTAAAGGAAATAACTTCATCTAAAAACCAAACGGAAGCATTCACAGACAATTCTTAGTGATCATTGGATTGAACTAACAGAGCTGAACATTCCTTTAGATGGAGCAGTTTCCAAACACACTTTCTGTAGAATCTGCAAGTGGATATTTGGACTTCTCTGAGGATTTCGTTGGAAACGGGATAAACTTCCCAGAACTACACGGAAGCATTGTGAGAAACTTCTTTGTGATGTTTGCATTCAACTCACAGAGTTGAACCTTGCTTTCATAGTTCAGCTTTCAAACACTCTTTTTGTAGAATCTGCAAGTGGATATTTGGACCACTTTGTGGCCTTCCTTCGAAAAGGGTATATCTTCACATCAAACCTAGACAGAAGCATTCTCAGAATGTTTCCTGTGATGACTGCATTCAACTCACAGAGGTGAACAATCCTGCTGATGGAGCAGTTTTGAAACTCTCTTTCTTTGGATTCTGCAAGTGGATATGTGGACCTCTGTGAAGATTTCGTTGGAAACGGGTTCATCTTCACAGAAAAACTAAACAGAAGCATTCTCAGAAACTGCTTTGTGATGTTTGTGTTCCACTTCAAGAATTGAACTTTCCTCTTGACAGAGCAGCTCTGAAACCCTCTTTTTCTAGAATCTGCAAGTGGACATTTGGAGGGCTTTGAGGCCTGTGGTTGAAAAGGAAAATCTTCACATAAAAACTAGATGGAAGCATTCTCAGAAACTACTTTGTGATGATTGCATTCGACTCACAGAGTTGAACATTCCTATAGATAGAGCAGGTTGTAAACAATCTTTTTGTAGAATCTGCGATTGGAGATTTGGACTGCTTTGAGGCCTACTGTAGTAAAGGAAATAACTTCATCTAAAAACCAAACGGAAGCATTCACAGACAATTCTTAGTGATCATTGCATTGAACTAACAGAGCTGAACATTGCTTTAGATGGCGCAGTTTCCAAACACACTTTCTGTAGAATCTGCAAGTGGATATATGGACCTCTCTGAGGATTTCGTTGGAAACGGGATAAACTTCCCAGAACTACACGGAAGCATGCTGAGAAACTTCTTTGTGATGTTTGCATTCAACTCACAGAGTTGAACCTTGCTTTCATAGTTCAGCTTTCAAACACTCTTTTTGTAGAATCTGCAAGTGGATATTTGGACCACTTTGTGGCCTTCCTTCGAAACGGGTATATCTTCACATCAAACCTAGACAGAAGCATTCTCAGAATGTTTCCTGTGATGACTGCATTCAACTCACAGAGGTGAACAATCCTGTTGATGGAGCAGTTTTGAAACTCTCTTTCTTTGGATTCTGCAAGTTGATATGTGGACCTCTGTGAAGATTTCGTTGGAAACGGGTTCATCTTCACAGAAAAACTAAACAGAAGCATTCTCAGAAACTGCTTTGTGATGTTTGTGTTCCACTTCAAGAATTGAACTTTCCTCTTGACAGAGCAGCTCTGAAACCCTCTTTTTCTAGAATCTGCAAGTGGACATTTGGATGGCTTTGAGGCCTGTGGTGGAAAAGGAAAATCTTCACATAAAAACTAGATGGAAGCATTCTCAGAAACTACTTTGTGATGATTGCATTCGACTCACAGGTTTGAACATTCCTATAGATAGAGCAGGTTGTAAACAATCTTTTTGTAGAATCTGCGATTGGAGATTTGGACTGCTTTGAGGCCTACTGTAGTAAAGGAAATAACTTCATCTAAAAACCAAACGGAAGCATTCACAGACAATTCTTAGTGATCATTGGATTGAACTAACAGAGCTGAACATTCCTTTAGATGGAGCAGTTTCCAAACACACTTTCTGTAGAATCTGCAAGTGGATATTTGGACTTCTCTGAGGATTTCGTTGGAAACGGGATAAAATTCCCAGAACTACACGGAAGCATTCTGAGAAACTTCTTTGTCATGTTTGCATTCAACTCACAGAGTTGAACCTTGCTTTCATAGTTCAGCTTTCAAACACTCTTTTTGTAGAATCTGCAAGTGGATATTTGGACCACTTTGTGGCCTTCCTTCGAAACGGGTATATCTTCACATCAAACCTAGACAGAAGCATTCTCAGAATGTTTCCTGTGATGACTGCATTCAACTCACAGAGGTGAACAATCCTGCTGATGGAGCAGTTTTGAAACTCTCTTTCTTTGGATTCTGCAAGTGGATATGTGGACCTCTGTGAAGATTTCGTTGGAAACGGGTTCATCTTCACAGAAAAACTAAACAGAAGCATTCTCAGAAACTGCTTTGTGATGTTTGTGTTCCACTTCAGGAATTGAACTTTCCTCTTGACAGAGCAGCTCTGAAACCCTCTTATTCTAGAATCTGCAAGTGGACATTTGGAGGGCTTTGAGGCCTGCGGTGGAAAAGGAAAATCTTCACATAAAAACTAGATGGAAGCATTCTCACAAACTACTTTGTGATGATTGCATTCGACTCACAGAGTTGAACATTCCTATAGATAGAGCAGGTTGTAAACAATCTTTTTGTAGAATCTGCGATTGGAGATTTCGACTGCTTTGAGGCCTACTGTAGTAAAGGAAATAACTTCATCTAAAAACCAAACGGGAAGCATTCACAGACAATTCTTAGTGATCATTGGATTGAACTAACAGAGCTGAACATTCCTTTAGATGGCGCAGTTTCCAAACACAATTTCTGTAGAATCTGCAAGTGGATATTTGGACTTCTCTGAGGATTTCGTTGGAAACGGGATAAACTTCCCAGAACTACACGGAAGCATTGTGAGAAACTTCTTTGTGATGTTTGCATTCAACTCACAGAGTTGAACCTTGCTTTCATAGTTCAGCTTTCAAACACTCTTTTTGTGGAATCTGCAAGTGGATATTTGGACCACTTTGTGGCCTTCCTTCGAAACGGGTATATCTTCACATCAAACCTAGACAGAAGCATTCTCAGATTGTTTCCTGTGATGACTGCATTCAACTCACAGAGGTGAACAATCCTGCTGATGGAGCAGTTTTGAAACTCTCTTTCTTTGGATTCTGCAAGTGGATATGTGGACCTCTGTGAAGATTTCGTTGGAAACGGGTTCATCTTCACAGAAAAACTAAACAGAAGCATTCTCAGAAACTGCTTTGTGATGTTTGTGTTCCACTTCAGGAATTGAACTTTCCTCTTGATAGAGCAGCTCTGAAACCCTCTTTTTCTAGGATCTGCAAGTGGACATTTGGAGGGCTTTGAGGCCTGTGGTGGAAAAGGAAAATCTTCACATAAAAACTAGATGGAAGCATTCTCAGAAACTACTTTGTGATGACTGCATTCGACTCACAGGGTTGAACATTCCTATAGATAGAGCCGGATGTAAACAATCTTTTTGTAGAATATGCGATTGGAGATTTGGACTGCTTTGAGGCCTACTGTAGTAAAGGAAATAACTTCATCTAAAAACCAAACGGAAGCATTCACAGACAATTCTTAGTGATCATTGCATTGAACTAACAGAGCTGAACATTCCTTTAGATGGCGCAGTTTCCAAACACACTTTCTGTAGAATCTGCAAGTGGATATTTGGACCTCTCTGAGGATTTCGTTGGAAACGGGATAAACTTCCCAGAACTACACGGAAGCATTGTGAGAAACTTCTTTGTGATGTTTGCATTCAACTCACAGAGTTGAACCTTGCTTTCATAGTTCAGCTTTCAAACACTCTTTTTGTAGAATCTGCAAGTGGATATTTGGACCACTTTGTGGCCTTCCTTCGAACGGGTATATCTTCACATCAAACCTAGACAGAAGCATTCTCAGAATGTTTCCTGTGATGACTGCATTCAACTCACAGAGGTGAACAATCCTGCTGATGGAGCAGTTTTGAAACTCTCTTTCTTTGGATTCTGCAAGTGGATATGTGGACCTCTGTGAAGATTTCGTTGGAAACGGGTTCATCTTCACAGAAAAACTAAACAGAAGCATTCTCAGAAACTGCTTTGTGATGTTTGTGTTCCACTTCAGGAATTGAACTTTCCTCTTGACAGAGCAGCTCTGAAACCCTCTTATTCTAGAATCTGCAAGTGGACATTTGGAGGGCTTTGAGGCCTGTGGTGGAAAAGGAGAATCTTCACATAAAAACTAGATGGAAGCATTCTCAGAAACTACTTTGTGATGATTGCATTCGACTCACAGAGTTGAACATTCCTATAGATAGAGCAGGTTGTAAACAATCTTTTTGTAGAATCTGCGATTGGAGATTTGGACTGCTTTGAGGCCTACTGTAGTAAAGGAAATAACTTCATCTAAAAACCAAACGGAAGCATTCACAGACAATTCTTAGTGATCATTGGATTGAACTAACAGAGCTGAACATTCCTTTAGATGGAGCAGTTTCCAAACCCACTTTCTGTAGAATCTGCAAGTGGATATTTGGACTTCTCTGAGGATTTCGTTGGAAACGGGATAAACTTCCCAGAACTACACGGAAGCATCTGAGAAACTTCTTTGTGATGTTTGCATTCAACTCACAGAGTTGAACCTTGCTTTCATAGTTCAGCTTTCAAACACTCTTTTTGTAGAATCTGCAAGTGGATATTTGGACCACTTTGTGGCCTTCCTTCGAAACGGGTATATCTTTACATCAAACCTAGACAGAAGCATTCTCAGAATGTTTCCTGTGATGACTGCATTCAACTCACAGAGGTGAACAATCCTGCTGATGGAGCAGTTTTGAAACTCTCTTTCTTTGGATTCTGCAAGTGGATATGTGGACCTCAGTGAAGATTTCGTTGGAAACGGGTTCATCTTCACAGAAAAACTAAACAGAAGCATTCTCAGAAACTGCTTTGTGATGTTTGTGTTCCACTTCAAGAATTGAACTTTCCTCTTGACAGAGCAGCTCTGAAACCCTCTTTTTCTAGAATCTGCAAGTGGACATTTGGAGGGCTTTGAGGCCTGTGGTGGAAAAGGAAAATCTTCCCATAAAAACTAGATGGAAGCATTCTCAGAAACTACTTTGTGATGATTGCATTCGACTCACAGAGTTGAACATTCCTATAGATAGAGCAGGTTGTAAACAATCTTTTTGTAGAATCTGCGATTGGAGATTTGGACTGCTTTGAGGCCTACTGTAGTAAAGGAAATAACTTCATCTAAAAACCAAACGGAAGCATTCACAGACAATTCTTAGTGATCATTGGATTGAACTAACAGAGCTGAACATTCCTTTAGATGGAGCAGTTTCCAAACACACTTTCTGTAGAATCTGCAAGTGGATATTTGGACTTCTCTGAGGATTTCGTTGGAAACGGGATAAACTTCCCAGAACTACACGGAAGCATTGTGAGAAACTTCTTTGTGATGTTTGCATTCAACTCACAGAGTTGAACCTTGCTTTCATAGCTCAGCTTTCAAACACTCTTTTTGTAGAATCTGCAAGTGGATATTTGGACCACTTTGTGGCCTTGCCTTCGAAACGGGTATATCTTCACATCAAACCTAGACAGAAGCATTCTCAGAATGTTTCCTGTGATGACTGCATTCAACTCACAGAGGTGAACAATCCTGTCGATGGAGCACTTTTGAAACTCTCTTTCATTGGATTCTGCAAGTTGATATGTGGACCTCTGTGAAGATTTCGTTGGAAACGGGTTCATCTTCACAGAAAAACTAAACAGAAGCATTCTCAGAAACTGCTTTGTGATGTTTGTGTTCCACTTCAGGAATTGAACTTTCCTCTTGACAGAGCAGCTCTGAAACCCTCTTTTTCTAGAATCTGCAAGTGGACATTTGGAGGGCTTTGAGGCCTGTGGTGGAAAAGGAAAATCTTCACATAAAAACTAGATGGAAGCATTCTCAGAAACTACTTTGTGATGATTGCATTCGACTCACAGAGTTGAACATTCCTATAGATAGAGCAGGTTGTAAACAATCTTTTTGTAGAATCTGCGATTGGAGATTTGGACTGCTTTGAGGCGTACTGTAGTAAAGGAAATAACTTCATCTAAAAACCAAACGGAAGCATTCACAGACAATTCTTAGTGATCATTGGATTGAACTAACAGAGCTGAACATTCCTTTAGATGGAGCAGTTTCCAAACCCACTTTCTGTAGAATCTGCAAGTGGATATTTGGACTTCTCTGAGGATTTCGTTGGAAACGGGATAAACTTCCCAGAACTACACGGAAGCATTCTGAGAAACTTCTTTGTGATGTTTGCATTCAACTCACAGAGTTGAACCTTGCTTTCATAGTTCAGCTTTCAAACACTCTTTTTGTAGAATCTGCAAGTGGATATTTGGACCACTTTGTGGCCTTCCTTCGAAACGGGTATATCTTCACATCAAACCTAGACAGAAGCATTCTCAGAATGTTTCCTGTGATGACTGCATTCAACTCACAGAGGTGAACAATCCTGCTGATGGAGCAGTTTTGAAACTCTCTTTCTTTGGATTCTGCAAGTGGATATGTGGACCTCTGTGTAGATTTCGTTGGAAACGGGTTCATCTTCACAGAAAAACTAAACAGGAGCATTCTCAGAAACTGCTTTGTGATGTTTGTGTTCCACATCAAGAATTGAACTTTCCTCTTGACAGAGCAGCTCTGAAACCCTCTTTTTCTAGAATCTGCAAGTGGACATTTGGAGGGCTTTGAGGCCTGTGGTGCAAAAGGAAAATCTTCACATAAAAACTAGATGGAAGCATTCTCAGAAACTACTTTGTGATGATTGCATTCGACTCACAGAGTTGAACATTCCTATACATAGAGCAGGTTGTAAACAATCTTTTTGTAGAATCTGCGATTGGAGATTTGGACTGCTTTGAGGCCTACTGTAGTAAAGGAAATAACTTCATCTAAAAACCAAACGGAAGCATTCACAGACAATTCTTAGTGATCATTGCATTGAACTAACAGAGCTGAACATTCCTTTAGATGGCGCAGTTTCCAAACACACTTTCTGTAGAATCTGCAAGTGGATATTTGGACTTCTCTGAGGATTTCGTTGGAAACGGGATAAACTTCCCAGAACTACACGGAAGTATTCTGAGAAACTTCTTTGTGATGTTTGCATTCAACTCACAGAGTTGAACCTTGCTTTCATAGTTCAGCTTTCAAACACTCTTTTTGTAGAATCTGCAAGTGGATATTTGGACCACTTTGTGGCCTTCCTTCGAAACGGGTATATCTTCACATCAAACCTTGACAGAAGCATTCTCAGAATGTTTCCTGTGATGACTGCATTCAACTCACAGAGGTGAACAATCCTGTTGATGGAGCACTTTTGAAACTCTCTTTCTTTGGATTCTGCAAGTTGATATGTGGACCTCTGTGAAGATTTCGTTGGAAACGGGTTCATCTTCACAGAAAAACTAAACAGAAGCATTCCCAGAAACTGCTTTGTGATGTTTCTGTTCCACTTCAAGAATTGAACTTTCCTCTTGACAGAGCAGCTCTGAAACCCTCTTTTTCTAGAATCTGCAAGTGGACATTTGGAGGGCTTTGAGGCCTGTGGTGGAAAAGGAAAATCTTCACATAAAAACTAGATGGAAGCATTCTCAGAAACTACTTTGTGATGATTGCATTCGACTCACAGAGTTGAACATTCCTATAGATAGAGCAGGTTGTAAACAATCTTTTTGTAGAATCTGCGATTGGAGATTTGGACTGCTTTGAGGCCTACTGTAGTAAAGGAAATAACTTCATCTAAAAACCAAACGGAAGCATTCACAGACAATTCTTAGTGATCATTGCATTGAACTAACAGAGCTGAACATTCCTTTAGATGGCGCAGTTTCCAAACACACTTTCTGTAGAATCTGCAAGTGGATATTTGGACCTCTCTGAGGATTTCGTTGGAAACGGGATAAACTTCCCAGAACTACACGGAAGCATTGTGAGAAACTTCTTTGTGATGTTTGCATTCAACTCACAGAGTTGAACCTTGTTTTCATAGTTCAGCTTTCAAGCACTCTTTTTGTAGAATCTGCAAGTGGATATTTGGACCACTTTGTGGCCTTCCTTCGAAACGGGTATATCTTCACATCAAACCTAGACAGAAGCATTCTCAGAATGTTTCCTGTGATGACTGCATTCAACTCACAGAGGTGAACAATCCTGTTCATGGAGCACTTTTGAAACTCTCTTTCTTTGGATTCTGCAAGTGGATATGTGGACCTCTGTGAAGATTTCGTTGGAAACGGGTTCATCTTCACAGAAAAACTAAACAGAAGTATTCTCAGAAACTGCTTTGTGATGTTTGTGTTCCACTTCAAGAATTGAACTTTCCTCTTGACAGAGCAGCTCTGAAACCCTCTTTTTCTAGAATCTGCAAGTGGACATTTGGAGGGCTTTGAAGCCTGTGGTGGAAAAGGAAAATCTTCACATAAAAACTAGATGGAAGCATTCTCAGAAACTACTTTGTGATGATTGCATTCGACTCACAGAGTTGAACATTCCTATAGATAGAGCAGGTTGTAAACAATCTTTTTGCAGAATCTTTGATTGGAGATTTGGACTGCTTTGAGGCCTACTGTAGTAAAGGAAATAACTTCATCTAAAAACCAAACGGAAGCATTCACAGACAATTCTTAGTGATCATTGCATTGAACTAACAGAGCTGAACATTCCTTTAGATGGCGCAGTTTCCAAACACACTTTCTGTAGAATCTGCAAGTGGATATTTGGACTTCTCTGAGGATTTCGTTGGAAACGGGATAAACTTCCCAGAACTACACGGAAGCATGCTGAGAAACTTCTTTGTGATGTTTGCATTCAACTCACAGAGTTGAACCTTGCTTTCATAGTTCAGCTTTCAAACACTCTTTTTGTAGAATCTGCAAGTGGATATTTGGACCACTTTGTGGCCTTTCTTCGAAACGGGTATATCTTCACATCAAACATAGACAGAAGCATTCTCAGAATGTTTCCTGTGATGACTGCATTCAACTCACAGAGGTGAACAATCCTGCTGATGGAGCAGTTTTGAAACTCTCTTTCTTTGGATTCTGCAAGTTGATATGTGGACCTCTGTGAAGATTTCGTTGGAAACGGGTTCATCTTCACAGAAAAACTAAACAGGAGCATTCTCAGAAACTGCTTTGTGATGTTTGTGTTCCACTTCAGGAATTGAACTTTCCTCTTGACAGAGCAGCTCTGTAACCCTCTTTTTCTAGAATCTGCAAGTGGACATTTGGAGGGCTTTGAGGCCTCTGGTGGAAAAGGAAAATCTTCACATACAAACTAGATGGAAGCATTCTCAGAAACTACTTTGGGATGATTGCATTCGACTCACAGAGTTGAACATTCGTATAGATAGAGCAGGTTGTAAACAATCTTTTTGTAGAATCTGCGATTGGAGATTTAGACTGCTTTGAGGCCTACTGTAGTAAAGGAAATAACTTCATCTAAAAACCAAACGGAAGCATTCACAGACAATTCTTAGTGATCATTGGATTGAACTAACAGAGCTGAACATTCCTTTAGATGGAGCAGTTTCCAAACCCACTTTCTGTAGAATCTGCAAGTGGATATTTGGACTTCTCTGAGGATTTCGTTGGAAACGGGATAAACTTCCCAGAACTACACGGAAGCATTCTGAGAAACTTCTTTGTGATGTTTGCATTCAACTCACAGAGTTGAACCTTGCTTTCATAGTTCAGCTTTCAAACACTCTTTTTGTGGAATCTGCAAGTGGATATTTGGACCACTTTGTGGCCTTCCTTCGAAACGGGTATATCTTCACATCAACCCTAGACAGAAGCATTCTCAGAATGTTTTCTAGTGATGACTGCATTCAACTCACAGAGGTGAACAATCCTGCTGATGGGCCAGTTTTGAAACTCTCTTTCTTTGTATTCTGCAAGTGGATATGTGGACCTCTGTGAACATTTCGTTGGAAACGGGTTCATCTTCACAGAAAAACTAAGCAGGAGCATTCTCAGAAACTGCTTTGTGATGTTTGTGTTCCACTTCAGGAATTGAACTTTCCTCTTGACAGAGCAGCTCTGAAACCCTCTTTTTCTAGAATCTGCATGTGGACATTTGGAGGGCTTTGAGGCCTGTGGTGGAAAAGGAAAATCTTCACATAAAAACTAGATGGAAGCATTCTCAGAAACTACTTTGTGATGATGGCTTTCGACTCACAGAGTTGAACATTCCTATAGATAGAGCAGGTTGTAAACAATCTTTTTGTAGAATCTGCGATTGGAGATTTGGACTGCTTTGAGGCCTACTGTAGTAAAGGAAATAACTTCATCTAAAAACCAAACGGAAGCATTCACAGACAATTCTTAGTGATCATTGCATTGAACTAACAGAGCTGAACATTCCTTTAGATGGCGCAGTTTCCAAACACACTTTCTGTAGAATCTGCAAGTGGATATTTGGACCTCTCTGAGGATTTCGTTGGAAACGGGATAAACTTCCCAGAACTACACGGAAAGCATTGTGAGAAACTTCTTTGTGACGTTTGCATTCAACTCACAGAGTTGAACCTTGCTTTCATAGTTCAGCTTTCAAACACTCTTTATGTAGAATCTGCAAGTGGATATTTGGACCACTTTGTGGCCTTCCTTCGAAACGGGTATATCTTCACATCAAACCTAGACAGAAGCATTCTCAGAATGTTTCCTGTGATGACTGCATTCAACTCACAGAGGTGAACAATCCTGTTGATGAAGCACTTTTGAAACTCTCTTTCTTTGGATTCTGCAAGTTGATATGTGGACCTCTGTGAAGATTTCGTTGGAAACGGGTTCATCTTCACAGAAAAACTAAACAGAAGCATTCTCAGAAACTGCTTTGTGATGTTTGTGTTCCACTTCAAGAATTGAACTTTCCTCTTGACAGAGCAGCTCTGAAACCCTCTTTTTCTAGAATCTGCAAGTGGACATTTGGAGGGCTTTGAGGCCTGTGGTGGAAAAGGAAAATCTTCCCATAAAAACTAGATGGAAGCATTCTCAGAAACTACTTTGTGATGATTGCATTCGACTCACAGAGTTGAACATTCCTATAGATAGAGCAGGTTGTAAACAATCTTTTTGTAGAATCTGCGATTGGAGATTTGGACTGCTTTGAGGCCTACTGTAGTAAAGGAAATAACTTCATCTAAAAACCAAACGGAAGCATTCACAGACAATTCTTAGTGATCATTGGATTGAACTAACAGAGCTGAACATTCCTTTAGATGGAGCAGTTTCCAAACACACTTTCTGTAGAATCTGCAAGTGGATATTTGGACCTCTCTGAGGATTTCTTTGGAAACGGGATAAACTTCCCAGAACTACACGGAGCATTCTGAGGAAACTTCTTTGTGATGTTTGCATTCAACTCACAGAGTTGAACCTTGCTTTCATAGTTCAGCTTTCAAACACTCTTTTTGTAGAATCTGCAAGTGGATATTTGGACCACTTTGTGGCCTTCCTTCGAAACGGGTATATCTTCACATCAAACCTAGACAGAAGCATTGCTCAGAATGTTTCCTGTGATGACTGCATTCAACTCACAGAGGTGAACAATCCTGCTGATGGAGCAGTGTTGAAACTCTCTTTCTTTGGATTCTGCAAGTGGATATGTGGACCTCTGTGAAGATTTCGTTGGAAACGGGTTCATCTTCACAGAAAAACTAAACAGGAGCATTCTCAGAAACTGCTTTGTGATGTTTGTGTTCCACTTCAGGAATTGAACTTTCCTCTTGACAGAGCAGCTCTAAAACCCTCTTATTCTAGAATCTGCAAGTGGACATTTGGAGGGCTTTGAGGCCTGTGGTGGAAAAGGAAAATCTTCACATAAAAACTAGATGGAAGCATTCTCAGAAACTACTTTGTGATGATTGCATTCGACTCACAGAGTTGAACATTCCTATACATAGAGCAGGTTGTAAACAATCTTTTTGTAGAATCTGCGATTGGAGATTTGGACTGCTTTGAGGCCTACTGTAGTAAAGGAAATAACTTCATCTAAAAACCAAACGGAAGCATTCACAGACAATTCTTAGTGATCATTGGATTGAACTAACAGAGCTGAACATTCCTTTAGATGGGGCAGTTTCCAAACACACTTTCTGTAGAATCTGCAAGTGGATATTTGGACTTCTCTGAGGATTTCGTTGGAAACGGGATAAACTTCCCAGAACTACACGGAAGCATTGTGAGAAACTTCTTTGTGGTGTTTGCATTCAACTCACAGAGTTGAACCTTGCTTTCATAGTTCAGCTTTCAAACACTCATTTTGTGGAATCTGCAAGTGGATATTTGGACCACTTTGTGGCCTTCCTTCGAAACGGGTATATCTTCACATCAAACCTAGACAGAAGCATTCTCAGAATGTTTCCTGTGATGACTGCATTCAACTCACAGAGGTGAACAATCCTGCTGATGGAGCAGTTTTGAAACTCTCTTTCTTTGGATTCTGCAAGTGGATATGTGGACCTCTGTGAAGATTTCGTTGGAAACGGGTTCATCTTCACAGAAAAACTAAACAGGAGCATTCTCAGAAACTGCTTTGTGATGTTTGTGTTCCACTTCAGGAACTGAACTTTCCTCTTGACAGAACAGCTCTGAAACCCTCTTTTTCTAGAATCTGCAAGTGGACATTTGGAGGGCTTTGAAGCCTGTGGTGGAAAAGGAAAATCTTCACATAAAAACTAGATGGAAGCATTCTCAGAAACTACTTTGTGATGATTGCATTCGACTCACAGAGTTGAACATTCCTATAGATAGAGCAGGTTGTAAACAATCTTTTTGTAGAATCTGCGATTGGAGATTTGGACTGCTTTGAGGCCTACTGTAGTAAAGGAAATAACTTCATCTAAAAACCAAACGGAAGCATTCACAGACAATTCTTAGTGATCATTGCATTGAACTAACAGAGCTGAACATTCCTTTAGATGGAGCAGTTTCCAAACACACTTTCTGTATAATCAGCAAGTGGATATTTGGACCTCTCTGAGGATTTCGTTGGAAACGGGATAAACTTCCCAGAACTACACGGAAGCATTGTGAGAAACTTCTTTGTGATGTTTGCATTCAACTCACAGAGTTGAACCTTGCTTTCATAGTTCAGCTTTCAAACACTCTTTTTGTAGAATCTGCAAGTGGATATTTGGACCACTTTGTGGCCTTCCTTTGAAACGGGTA
Source organism: Homo sapiens (assembly GCF_000001405.40). Taxonomy (NCBI): domain Eukaryota; kingdom Metazoa; phylum Chordata; class Mammalia; order Primates; family Hominidae; genus Homo; species Homo sapiens. The sequence continues at coordinate 52,961,551 of NC_000011.10, forward strand.
TATCTTCACATCAAACCTAGACAGAAGCATTCTCAGAATGTTTCCTGTGATGACTGCATTCAACTCACAGAGGTGAACAATCCTGTTGATGCAGCAGTTTTAAAACTCTCTTTCTTTGGATTCTGCAAGTTGATATGTGGACCTCTGTGAAGATTTCGTTGGAAATGGGTTCATCTTCACAGAAAAACTAAACAGAAGCATTCTCAGAAACTGCTTTGTGATGTTTGTGTTCCACTTCAGGAATTGAACTTTCCTCTTGACAGAGCAGCTCTGAAACCCTCTTTTTCTAGAATCTGCAAGTGGACATTTGGAGGGCTTTTAGGCCTGTGGTGGAAAAGGAAAATCTTCACATAAAAACTAGATGGAAGCATTCTCAGAAACTACTTTGCGATGATTGCATTCGACTCACAGAGTTGAACATTCCTATAGATAGAGCAGGTTGTAAACAATCTTTTTGTAGAATCTGCGATTGGAGATTTGGACTGCTTTGAGGCCTACTGTAGTAAAGGAAATAACTTCATCTAAAAACCAAACGGAAGCATTCACAGACAATTCTTAGTGATCATTGGATTGAACTAACAGAGCTGAACATTCCTTTAGATGGAGCAGTTTCCAAACACACTTTCTGTAGAATCTGCAAGTGGATATTTGGACTTCTCTGAGGATTTCGTTGGAAACGGGATAAACTTCCCAGAACTACACGGAAGCATTCTGAGAAACTTCTTTGTGATGTTTGCATTCAACTCACAGAGTTGAACCTTGCTTTCATAGTTCAGCTTTCAAACTCTCTTTTTGTAGAATCTACAGAAAGTGGATATTTGGACCACTTTGTGGCCTTCCTTCGAAACGGGTATATCTTCACATCAAACCTAGACAGAAGCATTCTCAGAATGTTTCCTGTGATGACTGCATTCAACTCACAGAGGTGAACAATCCTGTTGATGGAGCAGTTTTGAAACTCTCTTTCTTTGGATTCTGCAAGTGGATATGTGGACCTCTGTGAAGATTTCGTTGGAAACGGGTTCATCTTCACAGAAAAACTAAACAGGAGCATTCTCAGAAACTGCTTTGTGATGTTTGTGTTCCACTTCAAGAATTGAACTTTCCTCTTGACAGAGCAGCTCTGAAACCCTCTTTTTCTAGAATCTGCAAGTGGACATTTGGAGGGCTTTGAGGCCTGTGGTTGAAAAGTATAATCTTCACATAAAAACTAGATGGAAGCATTCTCAGAAACTACTTTGTGATGATTGCATTCGACTCACAGAGTTGAACATTCCTATAGATAGAGCAGGTTGTAAACAATCTTTTTGTAGAATCTGCGATTGGAGATTTGGACTGCTTTGAGGCCTACTGTAGTAAAGGAAATAACTTCATCTAAAAACCAAACGGAAGCATTCACAGACAATTCTTAGTGATCATTGGATTGAACTAAAAGAGCTGAACATTCCTTTAGATGGAGCAGTTTCCAAACACACTTTCTGTAGAATCTGCAAGTGGATATTTGGACTTCTCTGAGGATTTCGTTGGAAACGGGATAAACTTCCCAGAACTACACGGAAGCATTGTGAGAAACTTCTTTGTGATGTTTGCATTCAACTCACAGAGTTGAACCTTGCTTTCATAGTTCAGCTTTCAAACACTCTTTATGTAGAATCTGCAAGTGGATATTTGGACCACTTTGTGGCCTTCCTTCGAAACGGGTATATCTTCACATCAAACCTAGACAGAAGCATTCTCAGAATGTTTCCTGTGATGACTGCATTCAACTCACAGAGGTGAACAATCCTGCTGTTGGAGCAGTTTTGAAACTCTCTTTCTTTGGATTCTGCAAGTGGATATGTGGACCTCTGTGAAGATTTCGTTGGAAACGGGTTCATCTTCACAGAAAAACTAAACAGGAGCATTCTCAGAAACTGCTTTGTGATGTTTGTGTTCCACTTCAAGAATTGAACTTTCCTCTTGACAGAGCAGCTCTGAAACCCTCTTTTTCTAGAATCTGCAAGTGGACATTTGGAGGGCTTTGAGGCCTGTGGTGGAAAAGGAAAATCTTCCCATAAAAACTAGATGGAAGCATTCTCAGAAACTACTTTGTGATGATTGCATTCGACTCACAGAGTTGAACATTCCTATACATAGAGCAGGTTGTAAACAATCTTTTTGTAGAATCTGCGATTGGAGATTTGGACTGCTTTGAGGCCTACTGTAGTAAAGGAAATAACTTCATCTAAAAACCAAACGGAAGCATTCACAGACAATTCTTAGTGATCATTGCATTGAACTAACAGAGCTGAACATTCCTTTAGATGGAGCAGTTTCCAAACACACTTTCTGTAGAATGTGCAAGTGGATATTTGGACTTCTCTGAGGATTTCGTTGGAAACGGGATAAACTTCCCAGAACTACACGGAAGCATTCTGAGAAACTTCTTTGTGATGTTTGCATTCAACTCACAGAGTTCAACCTTGCTTTCATAGTTCAGCTTTCAAACACTCTTTTTGTAGAATCTGCAAGTGGATATTTGGACCACTTTGTGGCCTTCCTTCGAAACGGGTATATCTTCACATCAATCCTAGACAGAAGCATTCTCAGAATGTTTCCTGTGATGACTGCATTCAACTCACAGAGGTGAACAATCCTGCTGATGGAGCAGTTTTGAAACTCTCTTTCTTTGGATTCTGCAAGTGGATATGTGGACCTCTGTGAAGATTTCGTTGGAAACGGGTTCATCTTCACAGAAAAACTAAACAGAAGCATTCTCAGAAACTGCTTTGTGATGTTTGTGTTCCACTTCAAGAATTGAACTTTCCTCTTGACAGAGCAGCTCTGAAACCCTCTTTTTCAGGAATCTGCAAGTGGACATTTGGAGGGCTTTGAGGCCTGTGGTGAAAAGGGAAATCTTCACATAAAAACTTTATGGAGAGCATTCTCAGAAACTCCTTTGTGATGATTGCATTCGACTCAGAGAGTTGAACATTCCTATAGATAGAGCAGGTTGTAAACAATCTTTTTGTAGAATCTGCGATTGGAGATTTGGACTTCTTTGAGGCCTACTGTAGTAAAGGAAATAACTTCATCTAAAAACCAAACGGAGCATTCACAGACAATTCTTAGTGATCATTGCATTGAACTAACAGAGCTGAACATTCCTTTAGATGGAGCAGTTTCCAAACACACTTTCTGTAGAATCTGCAAGTGGATATTTGGACTTCTCTGAGGATTTCGTTGGAAACGGGATAAACTTCCCAGAACTACACGGAAGCATTGTGAGAAACTTCTTTGTGATGTTTGCATTCAACTCACAGAGTTGAACCTTGCTTTCATAATTCAGCTTTCAAACACTCTTTTTGTGGAATCTGCAAGTGGATATTTGGACCACTTTGTGGCCTTCCTTCGAAACGGGTATATCTTCACATCAAACCTAGACAGAAGCATTCTCAGAATGTTTCCTGTGATGACTGCATTCAACTCACAGAGGTGAACAATCCTGCTGATGGAGCAGTTTTGAAACTCTCTTTCTTTGGATTCTGCAAGTGGATATGTGGACCTCTGTGAAGATTTCGTTGGAAACGGGTTCATCTTCACAGAAAAACTAAACAGAAGCATTCTCAGAAACTGTTTTGTGATGTTTGTGTTCCACTTCAAGAATTGAACTTTCCTCTTGACAGAGCAGCTCTGAAACCCTCTTTTTCTAGAATCTGCAAGTGGACATTTGGAGGGCTTTGAGGCCTGTGGTGGAAAAGGAAAATCTTCACATAAAAACTAGATGGAAGCATTCTCAGAAACTACTTTGTGATGATTGCATTCGACTCACAGAGTTGAACATTCCTATAGATAGAGCAGGTTGTAAACAATCTTTTTGTAGAATCTGCGATTGGAGATTTGGACTGCTTTGAGGCCTACTGTAGTAAAGGAAATAACTTCATCTAAAAACCAAACGGAAGCATTCACAGACAATTCTTAGTGATCATTGCATTGAACTAACAGAGCTGAACATTCCTTTAGATGGCGCAGTTTCCAAATACACTTTCTGTAGAATCTGCAAGTGGATATTTGGACCTCTCTGAGGATTTCGTTGGAAACGGGATAAACTTCCCAGAACTACACGGAAGCATCTGAGAAACTTCTTTGTGATGTTTGCATTCAACTCACAGAGTTGAACCTTGCTTTCATAGTTCAGCTTTCAAACACTCTTTTTGTAGAATCTGCAAGTGGATATTTGGACCACTTTGTGGCCTTCCTTCGAAACGGGTATATCTTCACATCAAACCTAGACAGAAGCATTCTCAGAATGTTTCCTGTGATGACTGCATTCAACTCACAGAGGTGAACAATCCGGCTAATGGAGCAGTTTTGAAACTCTCTTTCTTTGGATTCTGCAAGTGGATATGTGGACCTCTGTGAAGATTTCGTTGGAAACGGGTTCATCTTCACAGAAAAACTAAACAGAAACATTCTCAGAAACTGCTTTGTGATGTTTGTGTTCCACTTCAAGAATTGAACTTTCCTCTTGACAGAGCAGCTCTGAAACCCTCTTTTTCTAGAATCTGCAAGTGGACATTTGGAGGGCTTTGAGGCCTGTGGTGGAAAAGGAAAATCTTCACATAAAAACTAGATGGATAAGCATTGTCAGTAAACTACTTTGTGATGATTGCATTCGACTCACAGAGTTGAACATTCCTATAGATAGAGCAGGTTGTAAACAATCTTTTTGTAGAATCTGCGATTGGAGATTTGGAATGCTTTGAGGCCTACTGTAGTAAAGGAAATAACTTCATCTAAAAACCAAACGGAAGCATTCACAGACAATTATTAGTGATCATTGGAGTGAACTAACAGAGCTGAACATTCCTTTAGATGGCGCAGTTTCCAAACACACTTTCTGTAGAATCTGCAAGTAGATATTTGGACCTCTCTGAGGATTTCGTTGGAAACGGGATAAACTTCCCAGAACTACACGGAAGCATTCTGAGAAACTTCTTTGTGATGTTTGCATTCAACTCACAGAGTTGAACCTTGCTTTCATAGTTCAGCTTTCAAACCCTCTTTTTGTAGAATCTGCAAGTGGATATTTGGACCACTTTGTGGCCTTCCTTCGAAACGGGTATATCTTCACATCAAACCTAGACAGAAGCATTCTCAGAATGTTTCCTGTGATGACTGCATTCAACTCACAGAGGTGAACAATCCTGCTGATGGAGCAGTTTTGAAACTCTCTTTCTTTGGATTCTGCAAGTGGATATGTGGACCTCTGTGAAGATTTCGTTGGAAACGGGTTCATCTTCACAGAAAAACTAAACAGGAGCATTCTCAGAAACTGCTTTGTGATGTTTGTGTTCCACTTCAGGAATTGAACTTTCCTCTTGACAGAGCAGCTCTAAAACCCTCTTATTCTAGAATCTGCAAGTGGACATTTGGAGGGCTTTGAGGCCTGTGGTGGAAAAGGAAAATCTTCACATAAAAACTAGATGGAAGCATTCTCAGAAACTACTTTGTGATGATTGCATTCGACTCACAGAGTTGAACATTCCTATAGATAGAGCAGGTTGTAAACAATCTTTTTGTAGAATCTGCGATTGGAGATTTGGACTGCTTTGAGGCCTACTGTAGTAAAGGAAATAACTTCATCTAAAAACCAAACGGAAGCATTCACAGACAATTCTTAGTGATCATTGGATTGAACTAACAGAGCTGAACATTCCTTTAGATGGAGCAGTTTCCAAACACACTTTCTGTAGAATCTGCAAGTGGATATTTGGACTTCTCTGAGGATTTCGTTGGAAACGGGATAAACTTCCCAGAACTACACGGAAGCATTGTGAGAAACTTCTTTGTGATGTTTGCATTCAACTCACAGAGTTGAACCTTGCTTTCATAGTTCAGCTTTCAAACACTCTTTTTGTAGAATCTGCAAGTGGATATTTGGACCACTTTGTGGCCTTCCTTTGAAAAGGGTATATCTTCACATCAAACCTAGACAGAAGCATTCTCAGAATGTTTCCTGTGATGACTGCATTCAACTCACAGAGGTGAACAATCCTGGTAATGGAGCAGTTTTGAAACTCTCTTTCTTTGGATTCTGCAAGTGGATATGTGGACCTCTGTGAAGATTTCGTTGGAAACTGGTTCATCTTCACAGAAAAACTAAACAGAAGCATTCTCAGAAACTGCTTTGTGATGTTTGTGTTCCACTTCAAGAATTGAACTTTCCTCTTGACAGAGCAGCTCTGAAACCCTCTTTTTCTAGAATCTGCAAGTGGACATTTGGAGGGCTTTGAGGCCTGTGGTGGAAAAGGAAAATCTTCACATAAAAACTAGATGGAAGCATTCTCAGAAACTACTTTGTGATGATTGCATTCGACTCACAGAGTTGAACATTCCTATAGATAGAGCAGGTTGTAAACAATCTTTTTGTAGAATCTGCGATTGGAGATTTGGACTGCTTTGAGGCCTACTGTAGTAAAGGAAATAACTTCATCTAAAAACCAAACGGAAGCATTCACAGACAATTCTTAGTGATCATTGGATTGAACTAACAGAGCTGAACATTCCTTTAGATGGAGCAGTTTCCAAACACACTTTCTGTAGAATCTGCAAGTGGATATTTGGACTTCTCTGAGGATTTCGTTGGAAACGGGATAAACTTCCCAGAACTACACGGAAGCATTGTGAGAAACTTCTTTGTGATGTTTGCATTCAACTAACAGAGTTGCACCTTGCTTTCATAGTTCAGCTTTCAAACACTCTTTTTGTAGGATCTGCAAGTGGATATTTGGACCACTTTGTGGCCTTCCTTCGAAACGGGTATATCTTCACATCAAACCTAGACAGAAGCATTCTCAGAATGTTTCCTGTGATGACTGCATTCAACTCACAGAGGTGGAAATCCTGCTGATGGAGCAGTTTTGAAACTCTCTTTCTTTGGATTCTGCAAGTGGATATGTGGACCTCTGTGAAGATTTCGTTGGAAACGGGTTCATCTTCACAGAAAAACTAAACAGGAGCATTCTCAGAAACTGCTTTGTGATGTTTGTGTTCCACTTCAAGAATTGAACTTTCCTCTTGACAGAGCAGCTCTGAAACCCTCTTTTTCTAGAATCTGCAAGTGGACATTTGGAGGGCTTTGAGGCCTGTGGTGCAAAAGGAAAATCTTCACATAAAAACTAGATGGAAGCATTCTCAGAAACTACTTTGTGATGATTGCATTCGACTCACAGAGTTGAACATTCCTATAGATAGAGCAGGTTGTAAACAATCTTTTTGTAGAATCTGCGATTGGAGATTTGGACTGCTTTGAGGCCTACTGTAGTAAAGGAAATAACTTCATCTAAAAACCAAACGGAAGCATTCACAGACAATTCTTAGTGATCATTGGATTGAACTAACAGAGCTGAACATTCCTTTAGATGGAGCAGTTTCCAAACACACTTTCTGTAGAATCTGCAAGTGGATATTTGGACCTCTCTGAGGA